>NC_000006.12:64428564-64731594 GCF_000001405.40 Homo sapiens
GATACCTGTTGAAGCCTATACTATGATATGCTAATCTTTGTTTCCATAAGTTGTTGAGCCTCTAAAGGGCATACATTTGTATGGCTCAGTAAATGTCACTAAATTGCCATTATCCAATTCTTACTAAAAGCATGCATTTGGCAGAAATAAGCCAATTATACTTTATGATATTGTCTATTTCTAGCCTATATTATTATCTTGTTTTAAAAAGTGCTTTCAAAATATATTTTGAAATTATTTTTGCTGAAAGAATAAGACTCAGGCCTTTGACTTGTGTATACTTTGAATTTTTATATCCCAGATATATGATAAAATGCCTGGGTACAATAGCTTCCCAGTAATTCCACATAAATGCAGCTGCTATGTGCTTCTTTTGGTAACATCTGCCCTTTTTGATCAAAATCCAACCAAAAATATTCTCAAAACTCTTGAGGTCCAGACGACTTATAGACTGACATCAGCTACATAATTTCAGCTGAACTTCCACAGAATAATAAAAAATATCTTTTTCTAGAGAAAAAAACCCCAAAACTCTGATGTTAAATGGACGTATCAAGTAAAACCAAAATTACTCTATGCTCCTCTGATTTGACTAACAGTATTAATAATAGCAGTATATTTTGTTAGATTAATTTCAGTAATTTTATAATAGGTAATATGTTTTCAAGTAAAATGATGGGAAATGTCCTACTTTTTAAATTATTTTGTGTTTAAAAATAGCCCCTAAAAGGTGATTGGTAACCAATTTATCAGAGCACTGGAATAAATTGAATTAAAAATTACAGGCCAGGTGCAGTGGCTCAGGCCTGTAATCCCAGAACTTTGGGAAGCCAAGGCAGGTGGATCAGTTGAGGTCAGGAGTTCGAGACCAGGCTGGCCAACATGGTGAAACTCTGTCTCTACTAAAAATACAAAAATTAGCTGGGCATGGTGGCAGGCACCTGTAATCCCAGCTACTCGGGAGGCTGAGGAAGGAGAATCGCTTAAATCACAGAGGTGGAGGTTGCAGTGAGCCAAGGTAGCACCACTGCACTCCAGCCTGGGTGATGGAGCAGGATTCTTTCTTGAGACCCTGTCTCAAAGAAAAACTTAAACATGGTTAATTTCTATTCTAATTAACTGGCCTATATAGGTTACATTTTAAGATCCTCTTTTCCCACGTTAAATGATGAAATTTCACTCCTACTCTATCTTTTGTGTTAAAGGAATATATACCACTTGGAAAGGAAGAGAAAAATAGGTTTATGATACAGGAACAATTCCTTGGATGAATAATTATCATTTAAAATGAAAATCAATTGTTCATTTTTTATTTTGTTCAAGTTAAAGTAAAATCAGTATTCCATGGTCATGTTTTTCTTGACACTGCTGACAGGGGTTAATTAAAAGATTAATGGGATAATGTACACATTTCATTAGAAACAAATTTTTTATTTTTTGGAAAGTAGTTAAATAGCTAATTTTTGTTTGTTTGGTTCCACTTCACTGATTTTCCAGCACTCTGAGCCAAAGTATTCCCGCTCTAATTGACACATGTCCTGTTCTTGGTTTCATTCTTAATGTCTTCCAAATGAAGTGCAAAACTTGGATGCTTACTCTAGTGATAATGTTTCCATTGTCTTTGTTCCAATTGTTACTAAAATTTGTGGTTTCTTTCAGACTGCTCTGTGTTTTGAATGCACAATTTGCTGCATTTTTATAATATTTTCTACCACTCAAACACATAAGAAGGTATATGATGTGATGATGAAACAATTTTTCATTCCTAGGCATTATGCGCCAGTACGCCGGGTGAATCCTGGAGTAGTTTAATGGAAAGTAGAAAGAAGCAATTATTTAAAACATGTAATCTGACATGCTAAGCATTTTGATGAAGTTATAATTATTTAACAGATAAATAGCGTATATATCAGTACATATTTTGTAAGCAATGCAATAAACCACTAAAAACCAAGATTAAAAGAAATATGAGCACTTTGGTTCAAATTCAACTACTAAGTGTTATAAATTGTGTTTACTGATTTTTTGCTTTTATCCTAAAGGTAGACAGTTATATTTTCCCTTATAGAAATAATTCTCATCTTGTTTATTCCACTTTGTTTTAGCTGATGTACTCTTCCTCGTGGGTGCAAAGCTAGAAAACCTTTTCCAGCTTCCCTTGTCATGAAGTGTCTCCATGTGACTAATCTCTAGCCAACAGAATGCAGAAAGGGGTGGGATTTGCCACTTCTAGTCCTGCCCCATTAAACCTTTCACCAGTCCTTCACCATGCTGACTGGTGGAGAATTCATTTTCTCAGCAGAATATACATGGAACACTTCAACAATATAATTTGAGTAAGGTTAAATAAATGAACTTTTCACAAAGATGTGGTCAGAGAGTAGAAAAGCCACAAAGGATTGTACAGAATGCCAGGACCACAACATAGTTACTCTGACACTATCTCTACATCTAAAGACTAGAGGAAGAGAGGAGTTATCAGAACAGAGTAGAGGGCCATTTGCCAGGAGCAAAGACCTTGACTTTAGGGAGAGAACCAACCCATGGGACACAACACAAGGTCAAAGGAATACACATTCAGGCTTTACCCTCCTGCCTCCCTATTTTTTTGATATGAAGAAAGAATCTGTTCTAGACCTTTCTCTTTGGCTTGAAGGTGGCTGTCTTCTGTCTTCATGGTGTCTATCTTCTGTATGGGTCTCTCTCTATGCCCAAATTTTCTCTTTTTATAAAAACACCAATTATATTTTGTTAAGGCCCACCCTGATGAATTTATTTTAATGTGATTACCTCTGTAATGACTCTGTAGCTAAATAAGCACACATTCTGAGCTGCTGAGGGTTAACACTTCAATGCATAAATTTTGTGAAAACCCAATTTAATCCATAAAAGAGCCCACTAATTTAATCCACACAGGTAAATCTCAGAGGACCAGCGCAGAAAGAAAAGGGAAACGAGCTGTAGAGCGGATCTGGAGAAGCCCAGACATTGAGAGTCTATTGGGTACTGTAGGTTAGCCTACCCTATTAAGGACAGTGAGTACTCCTTTGATTATTTATCTGATCTCTTACTTAAATATCCTCCAGTAAGACTCTATTGCATACGATGTAGTTCACAGTTCTTACTGTGGCATTTGATGACCTATACAACCTGACTACCACTGCATTTTCATACCCAATTCTCATTCCTTCCTACCTAAATAATCTCAAATTATTACCTTCCTCTCTTCTTTTGATACCAGTACTTAATTAAGGAACACCCTTCTCCTATTATCATCTAACAAATTAATATAATGACATTCAGGCTTTGTATCTGGTTCTGCATCACTTGAGAAAATATCTGCCAGTGTGTGGATTTCATTGGTACATGTCAGTCTTCTAAAGTGTCATGTCATTTACTGTTTATATAAATCATATGCCCTTTTTCAAAATGCTTTGTAATTTATTGCATGTCTAATGCAATGATTTATTGTATCCAATGCATGTGGATGACTGTACATAAACATAGCTGGTAAATTATTATCTCAAGGATAATTAAAGATGTTCTCATTTGTTCTAGGTTATTTGGCTTTGCAGAGTTTGTAGAATAGGAACCACCTGCTGCCAAAGGGCCAAACCAATAAATTCTCCAGGAGACAGTTTTAGAACTGACAGAGTGTTTGTGAATTACTTACAAATTAAGATATTGACTCAAATTAGGATATTGTTGTCTTAAATCTAAGACAAGAAATAAAGTAATTTTTTAAAATTAATGGCAGTATTTTTAATTGGTAGATACTTAGAAAAATCTAAAATCCCATAGATTAGGAGGTCAGAAAAGCCTAACTTAACTCTCTTTTAATCCCAAATTCTACCCTTCTTCAAGGACAAGGTAGAATTTAAGCGGTGACTTTAAATGGAAAAAGGCCCATAATACACTTGTTATTAAAGGCAAACTCAATTATTATGTTAATATAATTATGTTTTAGTATATAATTATAATGTAATATATATTATAGTGTAATATATGCAATGATTATAAGTAGTATATAGTATATTAAAAACTTAATACAATACACATGCATAATTATAACTATACCAACAGACATGAATAAAATATAACATCAGACTCTCATATTTGTGCTTTACAGAAAATACATGTGCCACTATCTTCAGCTTCTCAGCAGCACCTTCTACCTTAATGTTCTACCTGGTGGTGTTCAATAGTGGAGTGACAAATGCTCACCCATTTGCATTTTGCTTCATGACATACTCTATGCTATTTTTCTGCCTTCTAACTTTACTGCTTTGTCCCATTTTGACTGTCCCTTTCATTAAAATATGAGCACCAGCTATAGTTAATTTCTCACTAAAATAATTTTTAGTATGTGTGCTTTTAGTATCTTTATTATGCCAAACTGTATTTCACCTGATTTTAAGCACTCCATATTTTCCTTCCTGCTTTTGTTATTTTAAGCAATCACACATTTCTTTTTCAAAAGGACCATCCTGCTCTGCAGAACAGCTTGTCTTTCCTTGTTCTCAAAAATAATGAGCCAGGTTACTTTTTCACAGAGCATATTTGTTTCGCTTTTTCTGAGATAGATCATCATGGGCCTAGCACAATTTTGCTGTCCTTTTTCTTCCCAGTTCTATAAGGGTACGTAAGGCAAGACCTTTCTCCTATATTCATATTCAAGAAGAAAGCCATATTTCAACAATAACAAAATAAAAGAGGGTAAAACTGGGGGTGAATTGTGTGCACACCATTTACTTTTATTAGAAGAATATGTAAATGGTCAAAAAATTTTAGCTGCAACATTCATGAATTGTGTTCAACTCATAATTCGTGTTTTTGACTTTTTTTCCCCAGGACTATATTTTAAAGATACTGAAAAATAAAATTAATGGAGCTTCACTTTTGTACTTTATAGATGATAATCATGGACAAAATATATTTCTATAAATTTTTTATTACTTCAAACAAACCAAAAACCTGAGAAGAAATATTTCTGAGTTTAGATTATTTAGATCAGATATAGACAGGGTATCAACTAATTTTTGATAAAAATAAGAAGCAATGGTGTATGTAAATTGAAACAAAATTATAGTCATATAACTTAAAAGAAAGTGATTTTTTGGTTAAGTATTCTTAAAAGTGACATTTTGTAATAAAGATAGTGAAAAATATGTATTCTTGGGATTTAAAAAATCTTAAACATCTAATGTTTCTTTTAAAGAAGACTAGTGTTTTGTTACTTTAAAAATACAGACTGTCCATGTTTAGTAAAAACAATGATCAGGTCAAGGGGCAGGAGATCTGGGTTCTAATCTTGCTCCCTTACTGACTAGCAATGTGATAGAGAAAGTTGTCCAGCTTCTATGAGTCTCAGCTTTCAAATATGCAAAATGACTGCTATGGGTTGAATTGTGTTTCACTCAAAATTCATATGTTGATGCCCTAGCCATCAGTACCTGAGAATGTGACTATATTTGGAAATAGGGTCTTCAGAGAAGTAATAAGCTAAAATGAGGTCATTATGGTAGGCTTTAATCCAATGTGTCTGGTGATCTTATTACAAGAGGAAATTAGGAGATAGACACATACAAAGGGTAGATGATATGAAGACACAGAGAGAATACAGCCATCTACAAGCAAAAGGAGACCTCAAAAGAAATCAAACCTGTTGTCATTTTGATCTCAGAATTGTGAGACTAAATTGCAATTGTGAGATTAAATTGCCTGTAGAATAGTGAGAAAATTAATTTCTGTTGTTTGAGCCACCTTGTCTGCCACTTTGTTATGGCAGCCCAGCATCCTAGTAAAATAGGCATTATAAGTTTTACGATGATTAGATGTAGTTATGTGTGTGTAAAGCATATGGTACATGTTAATTGTTTAGTGTGTGTTAATTAATATTGTTGTTTCTTCTGCTAGTATTTTTACTGGACACATCATTTATAACTCTTATCTTTACCTGATCTTGAACATACAGCAGTTCTTTCCTGGTGGGGGAAAACAGGAATTCAATTCATATTACATTTCTCTAGCATGGTTCATGGGGCCTGTAGCTTCAAACTTACAGATTTTGGAGTGAAAGCAGCCTTGAGATTGTGTCATTTTCTAGTTATGTCATTATCTGTACTTAATCTCCCTGTCTCTCAGTTTTGCATCTGAAAAGTATAGATAATTATAATTGTTTATAGGAATACATTCATATATGTAATACAATTAGTACTTGATATAAATTCCTGTTGAAGAAACTATAATTATGATTTTTTAAAAATGTATTTTTTTACTCTTTTTCAGCCATGCCTGAGGCCAGAACAGCTTCTGTGGGTTTTCCCTCTGTCTCTTCATGATACCAATCTGTCATTCTGCTTTATTCAGGAGCCCATCTATGTCCTTCATGATTTGATTCTTACTGCCACCCAAGGCTCATGCACTTGCTTCCCTACAGATGATGGTCATCCCTGCCCAGGGAAATTATTACCTCGACTGAGATGGCATTTTCCAAAGTGTACTGCCCCCAGCATTTGTTATTTAGGAGATTAAAATGATGAGAAAGATATTAAATGTGTGTCTGTGTCATGGCACTTTTAAGTATAGTGACACTAAGCATTAAGAAAAAAAAGAAAAAAGATGATTTATTAAATAGCATCTCAGAGTTCTTAAAATGTTCATGTTCATTTTGAGTATTCTGGGTGGGGAGTAGATATGATGTAGGCTTTCCTCAATTTATTTGATGATACATTATTTTTTGGTCAATCATTTGTAAGAATCTGTATTCTAGATAATAGAATTTGGGTAGTTCTGGCCTAAGGAAGATAGAACTTCCTTAAAACCTCTCATTTAACTTTTTTCCCAGTCTCTGTTTAGGACTTCTTCTTCTTCCTTTTTTTTTTTTTTTCCTTTTTATTGGCTTTAAACAGATGTTTCCTTTTACTAAATAATCTATTGCCAGAAAATAATTTAATCTACATACCAGCTTATGGCTGTGGTATGTGTTTTCAGCATCACTCAAAGAAATAAAAAAGGTGGAGGGAGGTAAGGCACATAACAAAAAAGCATTACATCTATATTAAAAATTAAAATTTACTAAAAATCAAATGAGAAAAAGGAAAAGTTTACTTATCAGATTGGCAAACTGATTTATTTCAGATGTTCATGAGCATTTGGGGATAGGGTCACCTTAAAACATAGCTTTTGAAAATATTAATAATATACCTTAATTACTCAATCTGGATTGTGGTGGGCCATTTTAATTTCCTTCTTTATGCTTTTCTGGAAGTGCCACATTTTCTACACTGAATATAATTTACTTTGTTCATCAAAAGAAATTACCAGTTTAGTTGATTTGTTACAACAGCCATATGAGAAAAATATGAGGCTTTTATGGATCTTTTGTAAATCTCCTTATGTGAGTTCATTGATAATGTAATCCCTATAATATTCTTTTCTCAGTACATTTTTTAGAATATATAGAAAAGCTTGACAAACATTAATTCATACACATGCACATGTTAATACTAATCAGTATAACCTCAATTTTGAAATGACAAGTACAATATTGTTAGGGATAGCCTTTGCTACTTAATGAGATTAACTGGAAAAGAAATAATTATCTTACCTGATAAGCAGTGTATACTTTTGCCCGTTGTCCACTCTAACAGTAGTATTAATGCTTTTAAATTTTGCTTCACCAGGACAGTAAAAGTGGTACTGTTGGGGGAAAAAATTTTGTCCTCAAACAGTTTTTCAGCATGAAATTAATACCATATATTTGCACTGGACTTTATTATTTATCAATATATTTTACATCACTTTGGAGAGACATGAAGTTTGAAACTTAAAGAGAAGTGATAACTGAAGGTTTACAACTGATATGTCCTAGATTTAATACATACAAATATATGAGTATTATATAGATATAAATACACATGCATACATGTGTACACATACATGTCTAGATTCTTTTCCAGTATTCTGAGGAACATGGTTGAGAAAAGCAACATCCTCTACTAGCAGAAAGCAAGTATTTTAGGAATTTTCCTTACATAACAGCAATTGAGCAAGGCAAAGAATGGTTAATACAATCTAGAGGGCAATATTAATGTCACAGGAAGGCAAACTTCAAGATTGTGAAAACTAACCATTCATTCCAAGTTTTTTGAGATGTCAGGGTGTCTGGGTTCATTTGTAGAATTACTGTTAATGGCAACTAAGTTATGATCTAGAGAGGAAAAATCATGTCTATATCAGGTATGATTAACCAAGTATCCCCAGGAAATACATGGATGTGCTACATTGGCTTATTAAGCTTCTTAGCAAGCATGTGCCTACAGGTATATGGATTATATTGTGTCTATTCTTTCCCAGAGAGGGGCTTTAATATTTTTATTGTATCTAAAAGTGATCTATAACCCACATGTGTTAAGAAACTCACTTGCATTGTGTTTCATAACTTGTGCCCCTAGCTGTATTTAAGTTGATATACCCAAATCCTCTCACATATAGTCCAAAGATAAAGATAATGCTATATATTTTAACTTTTTATGATATTTGGGCCATTGCAAAAGACTCCTTTCCTTTATAAGATTATTTATTGTCAGTTGACTTTAAAAACTCCAATAAGAAGCATTAGGAGGAATTATTGGAGACTTGTAGGATTGTAGGTGAAAATATTTTATGAAATAATGTATTATTAAGACTAATGGATAGCCACTACTTTCCCTATCAAATGGGAAAAAAATTAATTCACAATAGGTTAAACGAAGATATTTAGGAACCATAAAACTAACTAGTGAATAGAGGTATAGAATTTCTTTCCCTTTGGTTTTATGAAAAAGAAAGGATATATACTTACAAGTCTACAATAATTACTATTATTTACTTAATTGTAATAATTTGTCAATCTCCATCTTAAGAAAATTTAAGATCATTTACATTTCAGCTAGATGATCAGAGTTCAAAACTCAGCTCTGTTACTTGGAAGTTTTGAGACTTCACATGTGCTTTGTGCTAAAATCTACTCACTTGTAAAATGGGGTAATACAAATTTTTGTGTGATTTAAATTGGTAAATGAATGAATATTGTGAAGTAAATATTATAAATGGGCAAATAAGTCAATCAAAGTGGAACACACAGAATTATACCTGGGACATAATTATATATGAAGGCTATGAAGGCTAGCTTTTTTTTCCTTTTTTTTTTGGCTCTATCTCCCAGGCAGGAGTGCCATGGTGCTATATATATATACATATTATATTACTTCAGAAACATGAGCATTTAAAGAAAGTCAAACTAAGGGAATTTGCCTATTTAAATAATAAGGTATAACTCATCCTTTCATGGAAATTCACAACATGTACACTTAAATCACATCATAAAAGAAATGGTAGCCCAAATGCTGTTATTATGTTTCATATATTAGAATTATATAAGTTAATTACCTTATTGTGCTGAGTTATTGCAATGATGATTGGGATGAGTTCCCTAAACCAGGTATTCAGAGCAGGGATATGAGAAAATTTGTTAAGGTAGAATGATGTTGGGAAAAGAGCATGCACTTTCAAATGAAGTTGGTTTCAAAATGTTATTAGCTGCATAACCTTGGACTTTTGAAAGGTTCTTATAACACTTACCAAGTGCAAAGTCAGCAATCTCAAACTTTTTGATCTCACAGTCTCTTTGCATTCTTAACGTTTATTGAGAACCCCAAGGAGTTTTTGTTAACTCAGTTGTGTCTATCAATATTTACATTGCTAAAAATTACAACACACATTTTTAAAATACAAAAATACATAATAAAATGATACATTAGCGATTAGAGCAAGGATATAATTGCATGTCATGTAGCCTCTGGAAAACTCTACTATACACTTATGAGAGTAAAAGTGAATAAGGCAAATAACACCCCTTGCCTACAGAAAACTTACAAAAACAGGTTTTCTCTTGAGGATCCTCTAAAAATATCTTGGGATTCCCTAGGGTTTCCCAGACTCTACCTGCCCTTAAGGTTATAAAAATGGTAACAATTATTATCATTGAGAAATTAAGAAATTGGGAAACTGGTCAATAAAGAAGTAGAAGAAAAGTTGAAAATAAGGAGAAAAAAAGACAATGAATGTTAATTCAAATCATGTACCGTTTGAAATATTAATATCTAAATATATATAAACTGATCTATCAGTATGAATGTAAATTTTTCTCCGTATAGTATATGAGCTTCTTAAGAACACTCTCTTGTCTTCTGAATGATATTCTAATTAGGTATATTTTCCAGAAAAAATAGAGACCTTTTGAGCAAAATACTCTGACAATTATATTTTTTAAATTTATAAATATGTGATTAATGAAATCCAGTTAGCTTATTTTTTGAATAAGTTGTTAACCACTTTATATTATTATTAAATCAGTTTTTTTGCTTAAAAATACTTGGTTGTTGTTGGTTCATATATACATAGAAAGAAATTATAAAAGTAGAGGAAGAGACATCCTGGTGGTGAGTATAATATATAGAGTTAAGTTTAAATTTTATTTTGAAAATAACCAATGAAGCACATAATTAGAACAACTTTGTAATTTTTAAAAAATTAAATGAACTGAATAACTTACCTTTAAAGTACCATTTTCAATAAACAATTGAATAAAAAATCCATCTACTAAATTTGAGTCTTGCTTGACATACAGCAGAAGTCCATAGGAGCTGAAGGTCTGAAATTCTAGGGAGATGTTATTTTGTGGATTTAAAGCCACATTCTGAAATTCTAGATAAGAATCTCCATAATAACGAACACAACTGAAATCTGTGGAGTCAGAAAGAAAATACAATTTAGGTTGAAATAAATATTCAATACCTAGGTTTCACATTATTAACATAGCATATGTTTTCTCTAATGACTCATACGTCTCTTTCCTGCCTCTTTCAAGCCCAGGCACTTCTTTCCTTTGGAATAGTCATGGCAGTTTTCTCATGATTTCTTTGTATTTGATGGCTTCATGATAAAATCTCATTGTAAGGCAAGGAAATCAAGATGATTACTCTTCAACACTGCTTTTACTTAGATTTTATGTTACAGGTTAACAGAAAAGGGCACATTTTCTAAATATGTACTTATTTCTTCTTTATATAAGATATTGATACAAATTATGATTAATATTGTTAATAATTTAATTTGGGAGGTTTGTGAGGGAATGCTAGAGATTATTGAGAGGCATAGAAATTGTTAACCTTTTGTATTAACACTCTAAATTATATGAGTTTCTTAACAACTCTCACCTTCTGAATGATATTCTAATTAGCTGTAGATTTTCAGAAAAAAATGAAGACACTTTGAGCAAAATACTCCACAGTTAAATTTCTTAAATTTGTAAATATGTGATTAATAAAACCAAGTTAGCTTATTTTTGAATAAGTTGTTAACTACTTTATATTATTATTAAATCATTTTTTTTTGCTTGATAAATACTGGATTGATTGTTCTTGGCTAATGATTCCTGAAACAATGGATTTGAATATCGCCTTTCTTCCAGTTCCTTTCTTCTTTTGTTATTTTCATGACGTCCCCAACACAAGCTTTCTTTCTCTTTTAAAACTTTCGAATTATGTATTATTTATAACTACTAGAAAATATTATTTATAAAACCATGTGAGTTTTAGTTTGCTGTCTATCACAGGATAATATTCATTTTCGAATCTGTACTTTAAAACTTCAAGAAATTTTATATCCTATGTGTGCTGTCTTTATTTGGAATTTTTAATGATGCTTTAGAATTACTCATTTTGCTACATTTTCAAACTTGCAACAATTTCTAAATAAATAACCAGCAAGCCTCAAATTAATTTTTTTCACTGGAAATAAGGTTCAAAATAGTGCCAGGAAGCATTTGCACTTTATAGACATAAAAGCATGAGTATATGTGTGTGTGTTTGTGTGTGTGTTTAATCAAGGACTGACTTCATTAGTGAAGGACAAGTTAATGACTGAAAAAATAACAATGTCCTTTCAATTTTGACATTCTAATTTTTTCAGTTGTTAAATGATAGGGACGTATTTTTTTTCCCCATGTAGCGTTTCAATGGTGATGTTAAAAGCATAATACAATAACATTTTAAACAACAAGAAATTGTTTTAAAGATTTCAGGCATTTATTTTAACAAATTGAGAATAAAGTCATGTATCAGTTTGATTTAAAATTCAAATTGTGAAAGAGCATAAAATGTTTTCAAAAACAAACATTACAAGAAGAATATACCCAATATTGATGAAATTAAAAAAAATTACATACAGGGGGTCTTCAAAAAGTTCACATAAAATATGTATTATTTAAAAACTATGGATGAATTTCACTCATCATGACATGTCTGAACAGAATATATTTGAGTTACTAAGAAGGATAAGACATCTGTTTGAAAACAGCCCCTATCGGAACATGAATTCTGCTAAAATTGAAGCAAGAACAAATATCAAATTTACGATGACGCTTGGGTGAAAGAATGGTAAAATCATTGATGCTTTACAAAGAAATTATGTGGACAATGCCCCAAAGAAATTCACAGTTTACAAGTGAAAAACTTGTTTTAAGAAGGGACAAGACTACGTTGAAGATGAAGTCCTTAGTGACTGACCATCCATATCAATTTTCAAGGGAAAAATTAATCATATTCATGTCCTAACTGAAGAGGACCAATAATTAACAATAAAAACAATAGCCAACACTATTGACATCTCAGCTGGTTCAGGTTACACAACTCTGAATGAAAAATTAAAGTTGAGCAAACTTTCCACTCAGGGGATGTCAAAACTGTTGTGCCCAGATCAGCTGTAGACAAGAACAGAGCTTTCAATTGCAATTTTAAACAAACAAGAACAAGATCTTGAAGTATATCTTTGAAGAGTTGTAACAGGAGATGATACATGGCTCCACTAGTATGATATTGAACACAAAGCACAATCAAAGGAATGGCTATCAAGAGGTGGAAGTGGTCTAGTCGGAGCAAAAGTGGACCAGTTAAGATCAAACATCATTGATATCGTTTGGCTCTGTGTCCCCACCCAAATCTCATTTTGTAGCTCCCACAATTCCCATGTGTTGTGGGAGGGACCCAGTGGGATATGACTGAATGTTTTTCCTGTGCTGTTCTTGCAATAGTGAATGGGTCTCATGAGATCTGATGATTTTAAAAACAAGAGTTGCCCTGCACAAGCTATCTCTGCCTGCTGCCATCCATGTAAGAGGTGACTTGCTCCTCCTTGCCTTCCACCATGATTATGAGGCCTCTCCAGCCATGTGGAACTGTAAGTCCAATAAACCTCTTTCTTTTGTAAATCACCCAGTCTCAGGTATGTTTTTATCAGCAGCATGAAAACAGATTAATGCAGTAAATTGGTACCAGTAGAGTGGGCACTGCTGAAAAGATACCTGAAAATGTGGAATTGACTTTGGAACTGGGCAACAGGCAGAGGTTGGAACAGTTTGGAGGGCTCAGAAGAAGACAGGAAAATGTGGGAAAGTTTGGAATTCCCTAGAGACTTGTTGAATGGCTTTGACCAAAATGCTGATAATGATATGGACAATGAAATCCAGGCTAAGGTGGTCTAAGACAGAGATTAGGAACTTGTTGGGAAATGGAGCAAAGGTGACCCTTGTTATGTTTTAGAAAAGAGACTGGAGGTATTTTGCCCCTGCCCCAGAGAATTGTAGAACTTTGCACTTGAGGAACATGATTTAGGATATCTGGCAGAAAAAATTTCTAAGCAGCAAAACATTCAAGAGGTGACTTGGGTGCTGTTAAAGGCATTCAGTTTTATAAGTGAAGCAGAGCATAAAAGTTCAGAAAATTTGCACCCTGACAATGCGATAGAAAAGAAAATCCCATTTTCTGAGGAGAAATTAAAGCCTGCTGCTGATATTTGCATAAGTAATGAGAAGCCAAATGTTAATCCCCCAAGATAATGGGGAAAATATCTCCAAGGCATGTCAGAGGTCTTCATGGCAGCCCCTCTCATTACAGGCCTGGAGGCCTAGAAGGAAAATGTGATTTTGTGGGCCAGGCTAAGGGTATTTCCGCTGTGTGCAGTCTAGGGATTTGATGTCCTATGTTCCAGCTGTTCCAGCCATGACTAAAAGGGGCCAAGGTACAGCTTGAGCCATTGCTTCAGAGGGTGGAAGCCCCAAGCCTTGGAAGCTTCCATGTGGTGTTGAGCCTGCAGGTGCACAGAAGTCAAGAATTGAGATTTGGGAACCTCTGCCTAGATTTCAGAAGATATATGGAAACATCTGGATGCCCAGGCAGGAGTTTGCTATAGGGGCAATGTCCTCATGGAGAACTTCTGCCACGGCAGTGCAGAAGGGAAATGTTGGGTGGGAGCCCTGACACAGAGTCCCTACTGGGGCACTGCCTAGTGGAGTTGTGAGAAGAGGACCACCATTCTCCAGAACTCAGAATGGTAGATCCACTGACGGCTTGCACTGTGCACCTGGAAAAGCCACAGACACTCAACGCCAGCCCACGAAGGCAGCCAGGAGAGAAGCTGTACCCTGCAAAGCCACAGTTGTGGAGGTGCCCAAGACAATGGGAACCCACTTCTTGCATCAGTGTGACTTGGATGTAAGACATGGAGTCAAAGGAGATCATTTTGGAGCTTTAAAATTTGACTGCCCTGCTGGATTTTGGACTTGCATGGGACCTGTAGCTACTTGGTTTTGGCCAAGTTTTCCCATTTGGAATGGATGTCTTTACCCAATGCCTGTAGCCCCTATTGTATCTAGGAAGCAATTAACTTGCTTTTGCTTTTACAGGCTCATAGTGGGGAGGGACTTGCCTTGTCTCAGATGAGTCTTTGGACTGTGGACTTTTGAGTTAATGCTCAAATGAGTTGAGACTTTGGGGAACTATTGGGAAGGCACAATTGGTTTTGAAATGTGAAGATATGAGTTTTGGGAAGGGCCAGGTGTGAAATGATAAGATTTGGCTCTGTGTCCTCACCCAAATCTCATCTTGTAGCCCATAATTCTCACATGTTGTAGGAGGAACCTGGTGAGAGATGATTGAATCATGGGGACAGGTCTTTCCTGTGCTGTTCTTGTGATTATGAATGGTTCTTCCAAGATCTGATAGTTTTAAAAACAAGAGTTTCTCTCTTTGCCTGCTGCCATCTCTCTTTTTCTCAGCACAATCTCTCTCTTTGCCTGCTGCCATCTATGTAATATGTGACTTGCTCCTTGTCTTTGGCCATGATTGTGAGGCCTCCCCAGCCATGTGGAACTGTAAGTCCAATAAAACTCTTTCTTTTGTAAACTGCCCAGTCTCAGTTATGACCTCATCAGCAGCATGAAAATGGACTAATAGAGTCATTAAAAAAGATTTCTGGGGGATGCTCAAGACATTTTTCTTTTTGACTTTCTGGAGGGCCAAAGAAGGATAACATGTCCCTATTATTACAGTGTTTTAAGAAAGTTAGTCAAAGCTTTAGCAGAAACATGCCCATGAAAGCTTCACCAGAGAGTACTATTCCACCATGACAATGCTCCTGCTTATTCCTCTCATGAAATTAGGGGTAATTTCTGAGATTATCAATAGAAAATCATTAGGCATCCACCTTATAGTTCTGATTTGCCTCTTTCTGACTTCTTTTTGTTTTCTAATCTTTATTTTTCTTCAGTTAATAATGTAAAAAGGCTGCATTGACATGGGTAAGGTCCCAGGACACTCATTTCCTTAGAGATGGACTAAATGGTTGGTATCATTGCTTGTAAAAGTGTGTTGACCTTGATGAGGTTTATGTTGAGAAATAAAGCTAATTTTTAAAATTTTTATCTAATACCATTTTTCACAACATTTCGAAGTCTTTTCATATTATTTTATAGCTTTTAGAAAGAAATATACTGCCTGACAATAAAAAACTCAAAAACTCCTTAATATTATTAAGATATGTATTTTATAGACTAAATTTTAAAAAATTCAGTGGCTTTTTCATTATGTGACTAATTATCTGTATGGAAACCCATATATGCATTCAATTGTAAAGTACTTGAGAGTATGCTGGATTTATCATTCTATTCCAAGAACCTAGCATGATACATGATTCTGTCAAGCATCTGAAAGCACATACTATAGCTTGGATGTTTGTCCCCTCCAAATCCCATGTGGAAATGTAATCCCCAATGTTGAAGTTGGAGCCAAGTGGAAGGTGTTTGGATCACTAGGGCTGATCATTCATGAATGGCTTGGTGCCATCTTCACAGTAATGAGTGAGTTCTCACTCTGAGTTCACATGATATATGGCTGTTTAAAAGAGTGTGGTACTTCCTTTCTCTCTCGTTTCCTCTCTTGCCATGTGAAACCCTGCCTCCCACTTCACCTCCACCATGATTTCTGAGGGCCTCACCAGAAGCTGAGGAGATGTTGGTGCTATGCTGGTACAGCCTGCTGAACCATGAACCAATTAAACCTCTTTCTTTTATAAATTACCCAGCCTCAGGTATCTCTTGATAGCAATACAAAACAGACTAACACACTATCTAATAGAAAATATAATTGCTTTTGTTTAAATGTGCTTGGAAAATTATAGTTAAATATAGATTTTAAAAAGTCAGGACGATATTTTGCACACAGTTTTCAATCATATTTGTGGTGTTTTCTATTTAAATATATAAGTACAGATTTTATTTTATGCTTCCCTCAGCAAAAATTTTAAACAGATGAGAATAATGATTATAGCAAGCACAGAATAGCTTTGTGAAGAAAACATAAATACTGAGATTATTTTCAGTAATAATGGGCTAAAGTAAAATAATAATTCTATACATTTTTATTGTCTAGAATTAAATAATAAACTTCTGCACTTAAGTTTTTACCTTCCTAAATAGAAGAAACTTTATCTGAATTGTATGGATTCATATTATGATTATACCTATAATTTTGTATGCTTTTGGTACAAATAACCAGAAATTCTAATTCCAAATAGTTTCAGCAATAAAGAAATGAAATAGGTTAAATAAAAGGAAGTTCAAGAATAGGGTGGGTTTTCAGATGGATGTATGTTTATGGAAAAGCTTAACTGACTTCTCATAAAATACCTAGATTACTCCTGTCTCTCCACTCTGATATTCACAGGCTGAGTTTTAATATGAGACTTGCTTTTCACATGATTCCAATGTGATGGCTAGTCACTCCGTTTCCAAAACTGTTCTTCTGTAATAGGAGGAAGAAATAACTTTCTCAAGTTAAGGAGAACCTTTCCTAGAAGTTAACTGGCTAGAACTGGGTGACCAATGAAGCCCTCTGTTGGAGATGAGGACGGGCTCAGCTCCCACTGAGAGCTATGGACCAGGGTTCATAATGGGCAAAACTGGTATTCTGTTAGGAGGAAAACCTCAACATCTAATTCCAGTATTTCTCCACATTCATGAATTATTTCCTGAATTATATCTGATTGTCAGATTAAAGACTTAAGATACACAATCACATGTCCAAGCTAAAGATATTAACTTTCATCTTCAACTTCCTCCCTGTTTCTCTTTATATGCAGTAGCTCTTGCCTTTATTTCTAGAAACTCATATGGAGTTTAAGGATGAGTCTAGCCATTTAAAAATTTACTTGAAACATGGTTGTTGCTAGGTGGGTGGTTGCTAGTTGCCAGCTTTTATTTTTCACATGTAATTATTTAAGTTTTCAGTACATACTAATAGCCACTCCCCTTGCATGAGAATAACGAAAACTTAAAAGCTGTGTAAGAGAAAAATCAGGAATCAATGAACCTTCCCTCTCTACTGCAACAGAGTTTTTTTAATAGACTAGAAATATAATAGAATACATGTATTTTAGAAGAAATGAATAATAGAAACTCTGAAGTATATGTGTGTATATATAGAAAATACACCAAATGAGTATAATATTTCTCTCAGATTAATTATGAATATTTACTCCAACACCACATATTACTTTTAATAAAACAAATATATATTTTTGAAAGTGTAAAGGAATCTTAGCTTGGGGCATTTTTCATTTTTTTTTGTTTTGTTTTGGTTAGCAGATCATAAAATTCTATATCAATTTTTAAAAATCAAGTATTTTTTATAGTTAGTGTTTCTATATACAAGATTAAATGTGAAAGTTGGAATATTATGAGAGAATAATTGAATACTAGGATTTTCTATAAAATTGATAGTTTGATAATTACTCTGTAGTGATCAGGTAGCTTAAGTAAAGATATATATAATTTGGTCCCATATCTGGTAGTTATTACCAATATAGTATAATCCATGAATAACTGCCCAAAGAAATAATTATGTATTGCTCTCCACAGTATATATCATTAGATAAATGTTAGGAAATATTTTGCAACCAAAATGTAAAATGATCCCTTTCTCCAGGTTTCTTGAAAGCAATATCTAAGAAACAATAATGGAAATGTATAATGTATGTGTGTGTGTGGGGGGGGGGTGCTCATGTACATTTGCAACTTTTTCTGTTAAGTGAAGTATTAATTTGAGAAAAAATTTTATGTATGACACTTAAATATAATTAATATTGAAAGATTTACTATGCTGTTTATTAAGAAACCTGTATCACATCTTGATTCTTGATTTTAACAGTAAGCAGATCAGCAACTGTGTATTACCCACAGATACTGTCTAAAACTTGTGTCTCTTTGTGTTATTTCTCTAAAGAAGAGCTTGAATTTTATCATTACAAAATCTCTGCATATTTAATACTTTAAATTTCTGTGTTCTACAAATTGTGTCTAATTCACCTTAAAATCCAACTTTACATAATCCATTTTAGCTCATCCCAATTAGCTTAATACCCACTAATAGAGCAGGATAAAGTAGGAAAATTAGCATTTATTTACTTAGTATATGATAGGTTTTATTAGAAGCTTTACATATGCTTCTTGAAATTCTGATTTTTTTTTTCCTGGCAATGTAAAGATTTATATTATATGAAAATGTTTCAAAATAAGTTATGAAATATATTTGTTTCTTTAATAGGTTCCCACAAATTCATTAGTACCTTGATCAAAAGTCACTAATTTATATAAAGCATATTTTAAAGCAAGTATTAATCATAAAATGCCAAAAAAAGTTTACAAAACAATCAATAATACTGAAATTAAAAGCTAGACTACAGAGTTTAAGATTTGCAGAGACTCCTCAATGTGGCTAAAGGAAATATATAAGTAGTGGCAGATTATATGAAAATAGATTATTGCAAGGGAATGTCCAGGAGGACTAGTCAAGTAGTTGAATAACTTTTTTTACTGAAAGCAATCAATGATCTTTTTGAAGGGAAGCAAAACATCTATAATCATAATATTTCTCTTCACCATGAAATGGAGATTGATTAGGGAAAAAATTATTTAATAGCAATCCGTAAGGATAGAAAGTAACTTTCTAAAATAAAAATCAAATCATGCCACTTCCCTGATTAAAAACATAAGTGCCGGACAGTGGGTGCAGGACAGTGGGTGCAGTGCACCGTGCGTGAGCCTAAGCAGGGCGAGGCATTACCTCATCTGGGAAGCGCAGGGGGTCAGGGAATTCCCTTTCCTAGTCAAAGAAAGGGGTGACAGATGGCACCTGGAAAATCGGGTAACTCCCACCCTAATACTGTGCTTTTCCAATGGGCTTATCAAACGGCACACCAGGAGATTATATCCCGCAGGTGGCTCTGAAGGTCCTATGCCCACGGAGCCTTGCTGATTGCTAGCACAGCAGTCTGAGATCAAACTGCAAGGTGGCAGTGAGCCTGGGGGAGGGGCGCCAGCCATTGCTTGGGCTTGAGTAGGTAAACAAAGTGGCCTGGAAGCTGGAAATGGGTGGAGCCCACCACAGCTCAAGGAGGCCTGCCTGCCTCTGTAGGCTCCACCTCTGGGGGCAGGGCACAGACAAACAAAAGACAGCAATAACCTCTGCAGACTTAAATGTCCCTGTCCGATAGCTTTGAAGAGAGTAGTGGTTCTCCCAGTATGCAGCTTGAGATCTGAGAACCAGCAGACTGCCTCCTCAAGTGGGTCCCTGACCCCCAAGTAGCCTAACTGGGAGGCACCCCCCAGTAGGGGCGGACTGACATCTCACACAGCCGGGTACTCCTCTGAGACAAAACTTCCAGAGGAACGATCAGGCAGCAGCATTTGCGGTTCACCAATATCCGCTGTTCTGCATCCTCCACTGCTGATACTCAGGCAAACAGGGTCTGGAGTGGACCTCCAGTAAACTCCAACAGACCTGCAGCTGAGGGTCCTCACTGTTAGAAGGAAAACTAACAAACAGAAAGGACATCCACACCAAAAACCCATCTGTATGTCACCATCATCAAAGACCAGAGGTAGATAAAACCACAAAGATGGGGAAAAAACAGAGCAGAAAAATGGGAAACTCTAAAAATCAGAGAGCATCTCCTCCTCCAAAGGAACGCAGCTCCTCACCAGCAATGGAACAAAGCTGGACGGAGAATGACTTTGATGAGTTGAGAGAGGAAGGCTTCAGAAGATCAAACTACTCTGAGCTAAAGAAGGAAGTTCAAACCAATGGCAAAGAAGATAAAAACTTTAAAAAAAAATTAGACGAATGGATAACTAGAATAACCAATGCAGAGAAGTCTTTAAAGGACTTCATGGAGCTGAAAACCATGGCACGAGAACTACGTGATGAATGCACAAGCCTCAGTAACCAATGCAATCAACTGGAAGAAAGGGTATCAGCGATGGAAGACGAAATGAATGAAATGAAGTGTGAAGAAAAGGTTAGAGAAAAAAAAATACAAAGAAATGAACAAAGCCTCCAAGACATATGGGACTACGTGAAAAGACCAACTCTACGTCTCATTGGTGTACCTGAAAGTGACGAGGAGAATGGAACCAAGTTGGAAAACACTCTGCAGGATATTACCCAGGAGAACTTCCCCAATCTAGCAAGGCAGGCCAACATTCAAATTCAGGAAATACAGAGAATGCCACAAAGATACTCCTCGAGAAGAGCAACTCCAAGACACATAATTGTCAGATTCACCAAAGTTGAAATGAAGGAAAAAATATTAAGGGTAACCAGAGAGAAAGGTTGGGTTACCTACAAAGGGAAGCCCATCAGACTAACAGCTGATCTCTCCACAGAAACTCTACAAGCCAGAAGAGAGTGGGGGCCAATACTCAACATTCTTAAAGAAAAGAATTTTCAACCCAGAATTTCATATCCAGCCAAACTAAGCTTCATAAGTGAAGGAGAAATAAAATACTTTACAGACAAGCAAATGCTGAGGGATTTTGTCACCACCAGACCTGCCCTAAAAGAGCTCCTGAAGGAAGCACTAAACATGGAAAGGAACAACCGGTACCAGCCACTGCAGAAACATGCCAAATTGTAAAGACCGTCAAGGCTAGGAAGAAACTGCACCAACTAACGAGCAAAATAAGCAGCTAACATCATAATGACAGGATCAAATTCACACATAACAATACTAACCTTAAATGTAAATGGGATAAATGCTCCAATTAAAAGGCACAACCTGGCAAATTGGATAAAGAGTCAAGACCCATCAGTGTGCTGTATTCAGGAAACCCATCTCGCATGCAGAGACACACATAGGCTCAAAATAAAGGGATGGAAGAAGATCTACCAAGCAAACAGAAGACAAAAAAAAGGCAGGGGTTGCAATCCTAGTCTCTGATAAAACAGACTTTAAACCAACAAAGATCAAAAGAGACAAAGAAGGCCATTACATAATGGTAAAGGGATCAATTCAACAAGAAGAACTAACTATCCTAAATATATATGCACCCAATACAGGAGCACCCAGATTCGTAAAGCAAGTCCTTAGTTACCTACAAAGAGACTTAGACTCCCACACAATAATAATGGGAGACTTTAACACCCCACTGTCAACATTAGACAGATCAACGAGACAGAAAGTTGATGAGGATATCCAGGAATTGAACTCAGCTCTGCACCAAGTAGACCTAATAGACATTTACAGAACTCTCCACCCCAAATCAACAGAATATACATTCTTTCAGCACCACACCACACCTATTCCAAAATTGACCACATACTTGGAAGTAAAGCACCCCTCAGCAAATGTAAAAGAACAGAAATGATAACAAACTCTCTCTCAGACCACAGTGCAATCAAACTAGAACTCAGGATTAAGAAACTCACTCAAAACCACTCAACTACATGGAAACTGAACAACCTGCTCCTGAATGACTACTGGGTACATAATGAAATGAAGGCAGAAATAAAGATGTTCTTTGAAAGCAACGAGAACAAAGACACAACATATCAGAATCTCAGGGACACATTCAAAGCAGTGTATAGAGGGAAATTTATAGCACTAAACGCCCACAAGAGAAAGCAGGAAAGATCTAAAATTGAGACCCTAACATCAAAATTAAAAGAACTGGAGAAGCAAGAGCAAACACATTCAAAAGCTAGCAGAAGGCAAGAAATAACTAAGATCGAGCAGAACTGAAGGAAATAGAGACACAAAAAACCCTTCAAAAAAGCAGTGAATCCAGGAGCTGGTTTTTTTGAAAAGATCAACAAAATTGATAGACTGCTAGCAAGACTAATAAGGAAGAAAAGAGAGAAGAATCAAATAGATGCAATAAAAAAATGACAAAGGGGATATCACCACTGATCCCACAGAAATACAAACTACCATCAGAGAATACTATAAACACCTCTATGCAAATAAACTAGAAAATCTAGAAGAAATGGATAAATTCCATGACACACACACTCTCCCAAGACTAAACCAGGAAGAAGTTGAATCTCTGAATAGACCAATAACAGGCTGTGAAATTCAGGCAATAATTAATAGCTTACCAACCAAAAAAAGTGCAGGACCAGATGGATTCACAGCCGAATTCTACCAGAGGTACAAGGAGGAGCTGGTACCATTCCTTCTGAAACTATTCCAATCAATAGAAAAAGAGGGAATCCTCCCTAACTCATTTTATGAGGCCAGCATCAACCTGATACCAAAGCCTGGCAAAGACACAACAAAAAAAGAGAATTTTAGACCAATATCCTTGACGAACATTGATGCAAAAATCCTCAATAAAATACTGGCAAACCGAATCCAGCAACACATCAAAAAGCTTATCCACCATGATCAAGCGGGCTTCATCCCCGGGATGCAAGGCTGGTTCAACATACGAAAATCAATAAACGTAATCCAGCATATAAACAGAACCAACGACAAAAACCACATGATTATCTCAATAGATGCAGAAAAGGCTTTTGACAAAATTGAACAACCTTCATGCTAAAAACTCTCAATAAATTAGGTATTGATGGGACGTATCTCAAAATAATAAGAGCTATCTATGACAAACCCACAGCCAATATCATACTGAATGGACAAAAACTGGAAGCATTCCCTTTGAAATGTGGCACAAGACAGGGATGCCCTCTCTCACCACTCTTATTCAACATAGTGTTGGAAGTTCTGGCCAGGGCAATCAGGCAGGAGAAGGAAATAAAGGGCATTCAATTAGGAAAAGAGGAAGTCAAATTGTCCCTGTTTGCAGACAACATGATTATATATCTAGAAAACCCCTCGTCTCAGCCCAAAATCTCCTTAAGCTGATAAGCAACTTCAGCAAAGTCTCAGGATACAAAATCAATGTGCAAAAATCACAAGCATTCTTATACACCAATAACAGACAAACAGAGAGCCAAATCATGAGTGAACTCCCATTCACAATTGCTTCAAAGAGAATAAAATACCTAGGAATCCAACTTACAAGGGATGTGAAGGACCTCTTCAAGGAGAACTACAAACCACTGCTCAATTAAATAAAAGAGGACAGAAACAAATGGAAGAACATTCCATGCTCATGGGTAGGAAGAATCAATATCGTGAAAATGGCTATACTGCCCCAGGTAATTTACAGATTCAATGTCATCTCTATCAAGCTACCAATGGCTTTCTTCACAGAATTGGAAAAAACTACTTTCAAGTTCATATGGAACCAAAAAAGAGCCCGCATTGCCAAGTCAATCCTAAGCCAAAAGAACAAAGCTGGAGGCATCACACTACCTGACTTCAAACTATACTACAAGGCTACAGTAACCAAAACAGCATGGTACTGGTACCAAAACAGAGATACAGACCAATGGAACAGAATAGAGCCCTCAGAAATAATGCCGCATATCTACAACCATCTGATCTTTGACAAATCTGACAAAAACAAGCAATGGGGAAACGATCCCCTATTTAATAAATGGTGCTGGGAAAACTGGCTAGCCATATGTAGAAAGCTGAAACTGGATCCCTTCCTTATACCTTATACAAAAATTAATTCAAGATGGATTAAAGACTTAAATGTTAGACCTGAAACCATAAAAACCCTATAAGAAAACCTAGGCAATACCATTCAGGACATAGGCATGGGCAAGGACTTCATGTCTAAAACACCAAAAGCAATGGCAACAAAAGCCAAAGTTGACAAATGGGATCTAATTAAACTAAAGAGCTTCTGCACAGCAAAAGAAACCACCATCAGAGTGAACAGGCAACCTACAGAATGGGAGAAAATTTTTGCAACCTCATCTGACAAAGGGCTAATATCCAGAATCTGCAATGAACTCCAACAAATTTACAAGAAAAAAACAAACAACCCCATCAAAAAGTGGACGAAGGATATGAACAGACACTTCTCAAGAGAAGACATTTATGCAGCCAAAATACACATGAAAAAATGCTTATCATCACTGGCCATCAGAGAAATGCAAATCAAAACCACAATGAGATACCATCTCACACCAGTTAGAATGGCGATCATTAAAAAGTCAGGAAAGAACAGGTGCTGGAGAGGATGTGGAGAAATAGGAATGCTTTTACACTGTTGGTGGGACTGTAAACTAGTTCAACCATTGTGGAAGTCAGTGTGGCGATTCCTCAGGGATCTAGAACTGGAAATACCATTTGACCCTGCCATCCCATTACTGGGTATCTACCCAAAGGATTATAAATCATGCTGCTATAAAGACACATGCACATGTATGTTTACTGCGGCACTATTCACAATAGCAAAGACTTGGAACCAACCCAAATGTCCAACAATGATAGACTGGATTAAGAAAATGTGTCACATTTACACCATGGGATACTATGCAGCCATAAAAAATGATGAGCTCATGTCCTTTGTAGGAACATGGATGAAGCTGGAAACCATCATTCTCAGCACACTATCACAAGGAGAAAAAACCAAACACCGCATGTTCTCACTCGTAGGTGGGAATTGAACAATGAGAACACATGGACACAGGAAGGGGAACATCACACACCGGGGACTGTTGTGGCGTGGGGGGAGTGGGGAGGGATAGCATTAGGAGATATACCTAATGCTAAATGACGAGTTAATGTGTGCAGCACACCAACTTGGCACATATATACATATGTAACAAACCCGCACGTTGTGCACATGTACCCTAAAACTTAAAGTATAATAATAATAAAAAAAAAATTTGTTACCAGTTGGCTATGACAAAACTGTTTAGCATTCACTCTGTATAGAACCCTTCCACCCCTACCTTTGGCCTTGCAATGTAGAGTACCAATTATTCTAGGATAACATACAAAACAATCATCCTTCCTTTGTTCTTCTGTATTTTGGCTCTGTCAGGCAGTGTTCTTCCATGTACCTGAATCTGTTTCTGGGCTCATTATCCTATTCCATTTGACAGATTGTCAACCCTCAGCCAATCAAACACAGAGTTAATTGGTTTTTTGATGAGATTTTGTATAGCATAGGTCACGTTCTGCATATTGTTCTTCTTCTTCAGGGTTGTGTTGTTTTATTTTTGCCCTGTGCCCTTTTATATAAATATTGAAATTAGCTACATATGCAAGCATCCTATTAAGTTGCATAAAAAGTCATTAGAAATTAATGTGAATTCCATTGATTTTACTGAAAATGTATAAGTACACTTGACCCTTGAACAACATGAGTTTGATCTGTGCAGGTCCACTTAAATGCTATTTTTTTTTCAATAAATACATTCTGTACTCCCAATTGGTGGGTTCTGTATCTCCAACAAAATGCCAACCAAAAATACAACATGTATACTTGTGGTATAATAAATCTATATGTAGGGTTGTGTGGGGACACTTTTCATATGTGGGGGTTCTACTGGATTTTTGTAGTGCCAACTGCATTACTTAAGTATCCACAGATTTTGGTATTGGTGTGTGTGGGAATTTTGGAACCAATGCCCACCACAAAGAGATATGTAGGGATAACTCTAATTTATATCCTTGTGATATTTTATCTTCTTGTATGTGGATACGGTAGATGTCTCCCTTATATGACGACTTCTATGACATTTTTAATGTAGTTTCGTAATTTATCTTCATAAAGAGCATGTGCTTACTTTCTCAAGTTAACGTATAGAAATCTTATTAATTTGTTGCCATTTTAAAATATTTTATAACATATATTTAACTCATTATATTGATGTATAGACATGCAATTCATTTACATATTGAGCAACCTTGTCGAACTCTTCTACTTCTATTTATTTATTTGTGTGTGTGTGGAGACAGGATCTCGCTATGTTACCCAGGCTGATGTTGAACTCTTGGACTCAGGCAATCCTCCCTCCTCTGCCTCACAAAGTGTTACGATTATAGGCAGGCATGAGCCACCACACCCAAACACGTTTATTTTTAATAATACTATATCATCTGTGAATAATGAGACCCTTCTTTTGTTTCTAATTCTTAAAATAGTTTACTAGTTTATTCCCTGCCTAGAACCTTCAGAAACAACACTGAACTGAAATAATGACAATAAGATTTCTTTTCTTGTTTTGATTTTTCATGTAAGACTTTTAAGCTTTCACATTTGAGTTTAAAGTTTTCTGTTCTTTTGTTTTATTATTATTATTTTATTTTATTTTAAGTTCTGGGATCTATGTGCTGAACATGCAGGTATGTTACATAGGTAGACATGTGCCATGGTGGTTTGCTGCACCTATCAACCCATCATCTAGGTTTTAAGCCCTGCATGCATTAGGTATTTGTCCTAATGCACTCCCTCCCCATGTCCCCAATCCTCCCGACAAGACCTGGTGTGTGATATTCCCTTCCCTGTGTCTATGTGTTCTCATTTTTCAAATCCCACTTATGAGTGAGAACATGTGGTGTTTGGTTTTGTGTTCCTGTGTTATTTTACTGAGAATGATGGTTTCTAGCTTCATCCATTTCCCTGCAAAGGACATGAAGTTTTCAGTTTTTTATAAGTGATACCCTTTAACTCATTAAAAAACTTTCCTTCTATTCTTAGTTTGCTAGAAATTTTGACAGAATTTAACATTAATTACGTTTGTTCACTTACTGATATGATTATACTGTGAACAACTTTGGTATTTTAATATTAACCCATTATTTTACCCCAGGAATATATCAACTGTTCTGATGGTATGTACACATATGAATTTCATTTTTAATAATTTATATTTAGGATATTTGCATCTATGTTGATGATTGACATTGCCTTTGAATTTTCATTGTTCATGATACCTTTTCTGATTTTCATACCAAAGTTTTATTTAGCTTCTTTAAACAAATTTGGTAACACAAATTTGTGTAAGAGTTTTAGTTGACCCACCACTCAAATTCCATGTCAAACAACAAAATTGTGGATTTCACACATCCTAAACTAACTACAAAAGGTTTCATTTAATGTATTGATTAAGAATCAGAATGTTATAGTTGAAAAGGACTGACTTCAAGAAGACTTAGTTTTAATATTAATTTGGTACCTTAATTTGTGAAGTCATTTCACTTCTCCACTTTCCTTACCTTTACCCATAAAACTAGGGTAAAAATTTTTATAAGCCTGTAGTTACAACAGGTCAATTTTAGCTAGTCCTCTTGAGTTTAATTATGTTGTTTACCAATTACATATATGGGATCTTGAAGAAATCTTTTAACCTCCTTGAATCTTTCAGTTTTTTCATCAATACCATGGCTACAAGAGGGTTGTTATGTTATACTATATAAGAACACTAGATATTAGAATTTGCTCCAGATTGTATTTAGGGAAGAAAACATTTTCTTGTAATGAAATAGAAAGTTATTGCAACAAAAATTTCATTTATAAAGTGGGTTTTTTTGCAGGCATATGCTCTAAATTTTTCTGAGGCATATATTTGGAAAAGTCTGAAGCACATGGCATTACCATATTAAACAGATCTGGAAGGAGCCCTAAGGATTCCACTGTGGTACATAAAAGTCTCTCATTTCCCATTATTAAAAAAACAGCTCACATTTTTAACTGTTTAATTGTTAAGGCTATAAATTTTACTTATAAGAATAATGCATATTATATTGTCCTTTACTCTTTACATAGCACTTTTACATACATTACCTAATTCATTCTAACTTCAATCTGAAAAGTGTGTAAAGCCAATGTTATTATGACCTTTTTTGATGTAGGTGTTTATTGCTACAAACTTACCCCTTAGAACTGCTTTTGAGGTAACCCATAGGTTTTTGTATGCTGTGTTTTCATTTTTGTTTGTCTTAAGAACATTTTAAACTTCCTTTCAATTTATTTATTAACTCCTTAGTTGTTTAGAAGCATGTTAATTTGTATGTATTTGTTAATTTTCCAATATTTCTTTTGTTATTGATTTCACATTTTATACCACCATGGTCGAAAATGATACTTGATATGATTGCAGTCTTCTTACAGTTTTCAGACTTTTTGTGGTTTTATATATGATCTATCCTAGAGAATGTTTTATGTTTAGTTGAAAAAATGCATACTCTGCAGATGTTAAATAAAATTTTCTGTATATGTGTCTTTAGGTCCATTTGCTCTAGAATACATTTTAAGTTTCATGATCATTTTCTGATTTTATGTTTGGATAATCTGTTCATTGCTAAAAGTGAGGCACTGAAATTGCCTACTATTATCATATTGCAGTCTCTCTCTCCCTTCGTATCTATTGATATTTTCTTTATGTGTTTAGATCCTCTGATGCTTGCTGCATATATTGTTATATCCTCTTGTTGAATTGACCACTTTATCATACTATAGTGACCTCCTTTGTCTTTTTAACGTCATTTTTGAATTAAAATCCATTTTATCCGAAATATGGATAGCTACTCTTTCTTTTGGTTTCCATTTTTCTGAAATATCTTTTTTCAGTTCTTCATTTTCAATTTGTGGGTCCTTACAAGTGAAATGAGTCTCTTGTAGGCAGCATGTAGTTGGGTCATTTTTTTTCCCCCCCATTTGTCATGCTATGTTTTTGACTGGAGAATTTACTCCATTTACATTCAGGGTAACTACTGATAGATAAGGACTTATAACTGCAGTTTTCTAGCTTTTCTATAAATCCTTTCTTGTTGCTTTTTATTTTGTTTGTGTGTGTGTATCTATAGGATTTTGCTTTGTGGTTACCATGGGGCTTATTACATAAAAAAATTTTGTAGTTATAATAGATTATTTTAATGAATGACAATGTAACTATGATCAGAAAAAAGAAATCTCTACACTTTGACTCCATTTACGGCCCACATTGTAAATTCATGATGTCACAAGTTACATTTTCTTAAATTACATATACCTTCAGAAATTATTGCACCAATTATTTTTGATAGTTTTTCAAACCTTTAGACTACAGATATATGTGATTTACATACCACCCTTACAGTATTACAATATTCTGAATTTGACTGTATACTTACTTGTACTAGTCAGTTTTATACTTCTAAATGTTTTTGTGTTGCTTAGTACCTTTTTTTTAGCTTGAAGAACTATCTTTAGCATTTCATCTAAAACAAGTCTGGTGGTGATAAACTCCCTTGGGCTTTGTGTGTTAGAAAAGTCTTATTTCTCCTTTATTTCTGAAGGATGGCTTTGATGGGTAAGATAATCTTGGTTAATAATTTGTTTTTTTTCTTTTTCTTCAGCACTTTGACTCTATCATTCCACAATCTCCTGGCACATAAGGTTTTGGCTGCAAAGTCTGCAGCTAGGCATGTTGAAACTCCCTTATATTTTATTTGCTTCTTTTCTTTGATGGTCTTAGCATCCTCTTATTATCTCTGATTTTTTGAGAATATGATTATATCTTTCAATAGTCTTATTTGGATTGAATCTGATTTTTTTAATGGGATATTTGCATATTTCTCCAGGTTACTAAAAATATTAGTAAAAACTTATGGAAAGTACTACTGTATCATCTTGTTCCACCCCTCCATGGAAATCCTCTGATCCCTATATTTTTTATGCTAAATAACCGAGGCTTGTGAAGGTAATTTGTTCAAAATCATGGAACTTAGAAATGGGCTTCATTCATCAAGGCACATATTTTTTAACACCAGTTTTATCCTGTGTGAACAGACTGTTCATTATGTTAAACACAGTCTTTGCAATACTTTAAACATTCTCATTTCTAAGACATCCAGTGTGGTTCCTTATACGAATTCCACATTGAGAGAGTGGTGTAACAATTAGTATTAGTGAATGTATAAACACTGCTCCACTTACCAGTGAGTTCCAAAATGTATCGTAAGCTAGGTTTTGAGAATTATGTTTTTAAAAAATAATTTATAAGTAACTATTAAACTCATAGCAAGTTCATAATAATTTGAAATTAACATGTTTAATCTTTGAGATGATTTGTATAATCTTTTTCCTTTTCCTTCTTCTGTTGTTGAATACGTAAAGAATATCATAGGCTATACAGAGTTTCATAAATAGGCTGGAAGTCTATGCACTATTTAAAAGGTAATGTGATGAGAAAATGTATTTCTGCAGTTAAATGAGAGTATGAGAACACTGGGGAATCCTTATTTTTTCTTAAACCTTTCATCTCTTGTATTAGTGTTGTCTAAAGAGAGAGAACTAATGGGATATACTTATATTTGAAGGGGATTTTATTAGGAGAATTAACTCACACTATCACAAGGTGAAGTACCACAATAGGCCATCTGCAAGCTGAGCAGCAAGGAAGCCAGTCTGAGTCCCCAAACCACAAAAGTAGGGAAGCCGACAGTGCAGCCTGCAGTCTGTGGTTGAAGGCCTGAGAGCCCCTGGAAAATCACTGGTGTAAGTCCAAGAATCCAAGAGCTGAGTCTGATGTTTGAGGGCAGGAAGCAGCCAGCATGGGAAAAAGATGAATGCTGGAAGACTGAGCAGTCTCTTCACTCCACTTTCTTCTGCCTGATTTATTCTAGCTGCACTGACAGCTGATTAGATAGTGCCAGCCAGATTGAGGGTGGGTCTGTCTCTCACAGTCCACTGACTCAAATGTTAATTTCCTTTAGCAATACTCTCATAGACACACCCAAGAACAATACTTTGCATCCTTCATTCCAATCAAGTTGACACTCAATATTAACCATCACATCTCCTGACCAAGTAATATCCAGAAAAAAAAAAAAAGACAAAACCCCAAAAACTAGTGACTCGGGATTTTTCTGTTGTGCCAGGACTCTTTCCTCAATGACTTTTATTCAAATTTTGGATGGAGCCCATTGTTTCAATGCCAGGTCCCTACATTATTATTTTTTCTTACAATTTCAACAGATCCCATTTTCTAATTAGAAGATTGGTGATGACAAAATATTTTTTAAAAATATATTGAATGAGAAACTTTGTCATCTCAATGGGCATAATTATAATACACTATGGCACAAAATGTGGATAAATATTAAGTAGTTATGTTATATAGCCTTCAGAAGCCATTGGATTTATGCTATAATGATTATCCATAATACATTTGAAAATTAAGGACTTAACAAGATCTAAAAGTTGATCACTGATGTGTGTTGTTTGTTTAATCTCCAGTGAAACAAAATACAAATGTTACTCTCAGTACTATTCCCATATGCAACATAATCAAATAATCTGTCTCAATAATGTATGTTACAATTAACACACATTGGAAAATCTCATTCCTAATTTTCCAGATATGTTGCTGCTTGTTTGAAGCAATGTTTAGAGAGTCACATAGATTCCTTATGCTTAAAAAAGTGAACAATTCTTTACTCATATATGATGAGATAGAATTATACATTCTTTGTATTTACTAATGTAGTATCTTTCTAAAGTGTATTTTATTTCACAATCTATCACTTTGCTTCAGAAATGCCTATGGTCTAATGGTCCTCCTCAAGCTGTCTTTGAAATCATCAGCTTTAATTCTTCTTAATGTTCAGGTTTTCTGATAGTTAAGAGGAGGAGTAGAGGTGTTGACAGTGATTTTTCATATTTTACCTTATTTCTAGCAATTAGCTTTTAATCAAATGTGATTTTCAACTCTTCATCTGATTTTTCAACATTGTTAAAAATTCAGCACTGATTTCTACTATTTACCAGCAGCTGGCTTCAGAGGAAGGTACAGAAAAAAAAAATTCATTCTTCTCAAAATTTGGGGATATAGGTATACAGACAAAGACTATGCAAATAAAAAAGTACATGTAATATTATATTGAGCATAGACACACAGAAACATAGTGCACAAACACAGGGCAGTCCTTAATATGACTCCTGCTGATGGGAGTGCTTCCTGCAGGTGAACATTTCCCCTCAGGCAATGTTGGAGGTTGGAAGTTTCATGTAAGGAATATTTATATTGAGAATAGCTGCTTGTTGAAAACTCTAAGAAGGCTTATTGACCACTAACATTTTAGTATGCCTTTTGGTTATCTAAAAATCTATGATTAAAATAAGTTAATGCATTAACCACATAAATATGATTTTTTCTCAATTATTTGCATTATATGACATTCTTTCAAACCATTACTCTTCCTGGATTATATTGTGGAGAAAGGAAATGAGAGAGGATTGATTGACTGATGGATTGATTGATTGTGAGATGCAGGAGGAAGGTTTACAAGCCAAAAAACTGCAATTCCCAACATGGAGATGAGCAGTCAGGGAGGGCAGGTTTAGGAGAAATGACTAGCAGGGGTTTATATATGGTAACAGTCTGGTGGTGGCATTAGTGGAAGATTGAGGAACAAGTACATTAAATATAGATTTTGTGTTCTTTAGACACATTTAAAAAATATTTTGCCTTATTTTCTTTATACTCCAGTGACTGTGGAAATTCCAGTGGTTTAACAGAAATGCACATTTATATTACTGAAAGCTGATCGAGAGCAATAATTTTCACAGTAAGAAGAGTGGATCTTTACTCAGAAGACCTAGTTTGAATGTGGACTCATTACTTTATAGTTGTGTAAATTTTGGAAACAATATGATAATATGTCTATATAAAAATTGTCATTTTAAAATATTTTCAATATGATAATTTTGGCAAGTTTGTTTTCAGGACGCATATTTTGAAAATTAATTTTATTTTGATTTTGAAGAAATAATTTGGAACTCATACTATTGAATAAAAAGGCTAAGTTGTTTTTCTTTTATTGAAAAAAGCAATAAATTTCCCTTCTAGAAACTTACAGATTTTATATTACTTATCTATATTATACTTGTAAATGAATGGACAGAAAACATTTAAGAAGTAACAATTTGTGTATAAAATGCTTTAAAATGTGTTTGTTAATTATTAGAGTTTCTCAAAACTGTAACAAGCACTTAATATTTCTATTTTTCCTGTTATAAAAAACCTACTTCACAATTTTATTGAGAAATAATTTCATTGTGTAACTTAAATCCTTTTAATTTTAAAGTTGTGTAAGATACAGATGTATTGACTAAATTAATTTAACTTGGATGACATAATGCTTAGAGAATAAATTGCAATCAAAACGAGAGATATAAAAACAGCATTTAATTAAGAAAATATCTTGTACAAATTTGAAGCTTCTTGTCATCTGGATGTCCTTGTACATCTCACTGGGCTCAGTGGGTTATGCAGAATTCTCTGACATATTAAGGTTAAAAATTAGTGTGATTGTATACAAAGACTGTTGGATATGTCAGCACATAGATGGTTTGGTGAAAAATGTATCAACTTGAAAACATCTAACTAGTGGAAGTTTTAATCCACTTTTACTCATCCTTCTAGTTATCTAGTGTCGCCACTTCCTGAGGCTTTTGTGGATGCTGTGCTATCAATCATCATGCTTCACCAGTTTTCTCACTGCCAATTTCAGTTTCCAAATTCTCAGATCTCCCAAGTCTGTTAATACTTGTTTAATTGTTTTTTAGCTTCCAAGATTTTGTCTTTTTTCTCCTCCTGTCTTATTCTAGTGGGTTGCTAGCCTTAACAAATATTTTACTAATTATTTGCGGGATTTCAGGAGGGAGTACAGGTAAATCTATGTAAATTATTTCATTATCTTTAACTGGAATGCTAATTTTAATTATTCTATATCTTTCGTTTAAAAAGCTATCAAAATTCTTTTCTACTTCTCTACAGAACTGCTTTCAAGTATAGCTTATTCTCAGCTTTAATTTTTTTTTTTTTTTTTTTTTGAGATGAAGTCTCGCTCTGTTGCCCAGGCTGGAGTGCAGTGGCGAGATCTCGGGCTCACTGCAAGCTTCGCCTCCCAGGTTCACGCCATTCTCCTGCCAAGGCCTCCCAAGCAGCTGGGACTACAGGTGCCCGCCACCACGCCCGGCTATTTATTTTTTGGATTTTTTTACTAGAGATGGGGTTTCACCGTGTTAGCCAGGATGGTCTCGATCTCCTGACCTGGTGATCTGCCCCTCTAGGCCTCCCAAAGTGCTGGGATTACAGGCGTGAGCCACTGCGCCTGGCCTCTCAGCTTTAAAGGTACATCCAAAATATGTGTGGACTCTGCCTCCCATATCAGGATTATATTACAATTCTGACCTTTGGTTTGTTAACAATATAAGTTTATCAACAGATGCTAGGCCTGTAGTCAGCTATCCTTCTAGGGAAACATTCTACATTATGATATATTGAACTACTTTTCATCTAAATATACAAATATTAGTTAAGCCTTTGCTGCCTTCAGGCTGATCCTTACATTCTAGAATTGCCTTGATAATAATTTTCAGTACCTTATAGAATATTGTAAAGCCAATGGGAGACTTTGAATATTTGATATTTTAAATTTTCAAATTTTGAAAGTTAGGGAAAAGTGAAAATAATGCAATTAGATGCATAACTTAGTGGAAAATATAAGAGCACAAGAAGATATTATGCTTCACTCTATAAGCATGTCACTATGAATGTAAAGTCAAATAAATGAAATCAAAAATGAAAAAGACACATTACAAATAATACCATAGAAATATAAAGGATCATAAGAGATAGCAAATAAGAAGATTGAATCAGTAATAATGTGTTTCTTATCAAACAAAATCCCCGCTGATGGCTTCACTGCTAACTTCTACCAAAAAATTAATGAACTTATACCAATTCTTATCAAACTCTCCCAAAATATTAAAGAGGAGGGAATACTTCCAGATTCATTGCGTGAAGCTAGCATTATCCCATTACCCTTATATCAAAGCCAGATAAGGTCACAACAAAAAGATAAAATTACAGACCAACGTCCTTGAAACATAAGATACTCCTATATACTTCTCAACAAAATACTAGCAAATCAAAATTGAACAACACATTAAAATCATTGTTTTCCATGAACAAATGGGATTTATCCCAGGGATACAAGGATGGTTCAACCTACCCAAATCTACAATTGTGATACATTATATTAACAGAACAAAGGACAAAAATCATGTGATCATCTCAATAGAAGCAAAAAAATCATTTGACAAGACTCAACATTCCTTCGTGATAAAAAACTCTCAGCAAATTACGTATAGAAGGAATGCATCTCAAAGCAAAATAAACTATAGATGATAAACCTACAGCTAATATCAGAATGTGAAAAGTTATAAGCTCTCACATTCACATTTCTTAGATCAGGAACAAGACTAGGGTGCTTTACATTTAACGTAATCCTGGAAGTCCAAGCCAAAGTAATTAGCAAAGAAAAAAAGATAAAAGGCAGCCAAATTGAAAAAGAAATAGTTAAATTGTCCCTGTTTACAAGCAATGTAATCTTATATATGGAAACACTAAAGACTCAACTAAAAAGACCATTAGAACTAACAAACAAATTCAGCAAATTTGCAAAATACTAAATCAACAAAAATTGGTAATGTCTCTATATACTAACAACAGACTATACAAAAAAGAAGTCAAGATAACTGGGTGATATAACAAATGTTTCCTACTATGTTCTGTTATAAAGAGAACAGATTATTATTGAACTTATACAAATAACTACATTGCTATAAAAATACAAAGTACTAATACTTTCTGAATTCTAGAGAGAAAAAATATTTCATCTTGGTTCACAAATATATGCTTTTTCAACCAAATGTAAACTACAGCTACCTTAAGATAAAAATAAAAATGTTTTATTAAATCTGGAAAACAAATCTTTAAAGAACTAGCAATGTTTTAAATAAAACTATCATTTAAAAATAAAACGAAAAATAATTCAAGAGAACAATTCTTGTTACAAAATAAATAAATGAATATTAAAATAAGTAAATAAGTAAAATACTTAGGAGTAAATTTAATAAAAGAGATAAAAGACCTGTACATTGAAAACAAAACAACATTGACGAAATAAACTGAAGAAACGCAAATAAAGAAAACGATATCCTTTGTTCATATGTTTGAAGAGTAAACATTGTTTAAATGTTCATACTACCCAAAGTGATCTACAGATTCTATGTAATCCCTGTCAACATCTCAATGACATTCTAACAAAAATAGAAAAAAAAATTAAAAATTTTGTGTGGAGCCACAAGAAAAATCCTGGATAGCCAAAGCAAACTTCAGCAAAAAGAACAAAGCTGGAGGCAGCATACTACTTGATTTCAAAATCTGCTACCAAGCTATAATAATCAAGACAGCAATAGTACTGGCATAAAACAGACACACAGTCCAAGAGAACAGAACAGAGAGTCCAGAAACAAATATATGCATTTAAGGCCAATGAATTTTGGCAAAGATGTCAAGGAAAGAATGATATCTTTTATAAATGGTGTTGAGGAAAGTGGTTATCCACATGCAGACTAATAAAAATAAACCTTTACATCACACCATGTAATTAAATAAACTGAAAAGATTAAACACTGAAATGTAAGACCTGAAACTGTAAAATTAGTTGAAGAAAACATTGAGGAAGAAGTTCATGACATTGGTCTGAGAAAAGATTTTTTTGGATGTGAACCAAAAGCATAGGCCAAAAAAGTAAAAAAAAAAAAGACAAATGAGATTACATCAAATTAAAAATCTTCTGCGTAGCCCAGGAAATAATTACCACAGTGAAGAAACAACCTGCAGAATTGGAGAAAATATTTGGAAACCATACATCTGTTAAGAGATTAATATCTAAAATATTTAAGAAACTGAAACAACTCAGTAGCAAGAAAACAAATATTCCAACTCTAAAAATGAGTAAAGGGCATGAATAGACTCTTCTTAAAAGAAGACAAATGGCCAACAGTATATGAAAAGAATACTCAAGAGCACTAATCAGTAGAAAAACATAAATTGAAACCACAATGAAATACTACCTCATGCCTGTTAGAATGGTTATTATCTAAAAGATGAAAGATAACAAGTATTCAATAAGATGTGGCAAAAGGGGACACTTGAACATTGTTGATAAGGATATAAATTAGAACAGCCATTATGGAAAATGGTATTAGGTTCCTCAAGAAAATAAAAAATAGCACTATAATATAATCTAGCAATCCCACTCCTGGGTATACATCCAAAGGTAATGAAATGAGTATGTCAAAAAAGATACCTGCACCCCCATGTTTATTGCAGCATTATTTGTAATAGATATTTATAAAATCAATCTAAATATCCATCAATGGATGAATGGATAAAGAAAATGTAGCACATATACAAAATGGAATACTATTCAGCCTTAAAAAAGGAAGAACCCCTGTCATTTGCAAGACAAAAGATGAAGTTGGGGAGCACCATGTAAAGTGAATAAGCCAGGCACAGAAAGACAAATACGACATGATCTTACTTACATGTGGAATCTAAACATGTTGAACTCATAAGAAACAGAGAGTAGAATGTTGGTTAGCAGGGATTTGGGAGGAGGTTGAGAAGATATTGGTCAAAGGATATACAGTGTCAATTAGAAGGAGTTAGTTAAAGATATCTATTGTACAAAATGGTGACTCTAGTTAATAACAATATATTAATATATTCTTGAAAATTGCAAAGAGTGTACATTTTAAGTGTTACTACCACAAAAATTGATATGTATTGTGAGATGATGTATATATTGATTGGCTTGATTTAGCCATTTTACAATTTATAGATATTTCAAAATATTATGTTGCACATGATAGATATATACAATTTGTGTCATTTAATATATTTAATTTAAAATTCTAAAAAAATCTGTTAATCTGAAGACATTAAAGTATAAAAAGGAAAGAAAAGTCAGAAACAGCGAGAAGACATTTGTATAACTTATAACTGACAGAAGATAGGTATCCAAAGTTCACTACAAACAGACAAACTAAAACTTCAATAGTCTAATAAGAATAAAAGCAATTAATCCAGTCAAATAAATGTGTAAAAGTCTTACAAAAACTCTTCTCAAAAGAGAAAATGCAAACTTCTAATAACATGGGACAAAATGCTGATATTTATTAGTATTCAGGGAATGCTGATATTTATTAGTATTCAGAGAATGTAATTACTCTGATTAAGATTTTTTTTAAATAACTATCTTATTGGCAAAAATTTTGCAGTCTGAAAATTCCAGGTGTTTCCAAGATTTTAAAATAGCTAGAACAGTTATATAATGTCAGTAGGGCTAGAAATAGGTGATAGCATTTGAAAAACTGATTTGACATAATTAAGAAAAATTTAATTTTTTTACCCTCTATGATCTAGCAAGTCCAATTGTATGCTTACATCCTGAAGAAACTCTTGCTTATATGTACTAGGAAGTATGCAATATTCATCAACATGGTAAATTCTAATGAGTTGATCAAAAAGAAGAATTAGGGCCTGGAGATTGATCAGTTCTGCCTGCTACAGCTGGCATCTGTGCACAACATCTGGAGGAACCTGAGGGAAGGACCACCCCACTTATTACCACCACTGAAGACATCCACGCACACATTCTGGGTACATGAGAATGAGCCTGCTTTCCCACCACTACTGCTTGTGTACATTACTGGGGACCTAGCCATAGGCCTGCTCTGCACACTGCTACCAGTATATGGAAGTATCATCCAGAGGAATAAGGGAGTGCCCACCCCACCCACAGCTGGCACCTGCATGCACCTTTTGGGGACCCAGGGATCAGCCTACTCAGCTTGCCACTGCCACTGCTGGCACCCATCTGCATATGCCACTCAAGGGGTTTGGGGATTGGCCTGTCCAGCCTGTTAATGACACTGCTGCCACTCATGGGCTTCAGGGTTGGCCGGCATCTGCTACTACCACCATTAACAACATGTATACTACTTGGGGGTCAAGGGACTAATTCATGCACTCAACCCACCACTGCCACTGCCAGCACCCAAGCAAGCTGTCTGGAGACCTGAGAACCAGCCTGCCCAGACCCATCAATACCACTGCCCACACCACCACCAGTGGCCCAAAGATCAGCACATCCAGCTTGTTGCCATCATTACAGGTGTCCAAGGACTGGACTGCCTGGCATCCTTGTTCCCAACAAAGCCTTGTCACAGCCTCCAATAATAAACACAGCCTAAGCTACTGAGGAACTGACACCGCTGCCACTGATTACAGCTAAAGAACTCACACGAAGATTACATTACTGTGTCCATTTAGAATCAACCTTTCCTGAACAACATCATAAATACATTTTTGGGAAATGTCTTTCCTTATGAACACCAATCCAAACAATTGCAAGAAGTGACTGTTTCATGTTTCTTGTGTCTTTACGTTGATACACAGATATGAGAAACCAAAATATTATGACAACTCCAAAGTAACAAAATAATTCTCTCCCTTTTTAAAGCTTTTATTTTATGTTCAGGGGTACGTGTGCAAGTTTGTTGCAAAGGTAAATTGCATGTCACAGGAACTTGGTGTACAGATTATTTGATCACACAGGTAATAAAACATACTACCCAATATGTATTTTTTGATCCTCACCCTCCTCCCACCCTCCACCTTCAAGTAGGTCCTGGTGTCTGCTGTTCCTTTCTTTGTGTCCAAATGTACTCAATGTTTAGCTCCCACTTACAAGTGAGAACATGTGGTATTTGGTTTTCTGTTCCCGAGTTAGTTTGCTTAGAATAATGGCTTCCAATTTCATCTTTGTTGCTGTAAAGGACATTACCTCATTTTTTCATGGCTGTGTAGTATTCCGTGGTGTATACATATCATGCTTTCTTTATCCAGTCTGCCATTGATGGGCATTTACATTTATTCTATGTCTTTGCTATTGTGACTAGTGCTGCAGTGAACACACATGTGCATGTGTCTTTTTGGTAGGATGATTTATACTCCTTTGGGTATATACCCAATGTTGGGATTTCTGGGTCAATTCTGTTTTAAGTTCTTTGAGAAATTGCCAAACTGGTTTCCACAATGGCTCAAATAATTTACATTCTCAACAGCAGTGTATAAATTTTCTTTTTTCTCTGCAACCTCGCGAGCATCTGTTATTTTTTGACTTTTTAATAACAGCCATTTTGACTGGTGTGAGACGGTATCTTATTGTGATTTTGATTTGCATTTTTCTAATAATCTGCTAAGCAACTCTAATAATAAAACTAGGATGTGGGCGGCAAGCCACCCAGGTGCCGAGGCAGGAGACCGAGGGCACCAGCTGTTCCAGTATAATAAAATATAAAACAAGAATAGTTATACCAGATATAGATCTTAGATATGATTATATATAAATATAATTAATCATTAGTTAGTAGTACTTACTCTTTATTCCAATGTTATAATAATCCTCGCTCTATAATCGTAACCGAGGAAAGGCCAGGCCATACAGAGATAGGAGCTGAGGGGACATAATGAGAAGTGACCAGAAGACAAGAGTGCGAGCCTTCTGTTATGTCCAGACAGGGCCACCAGAGGGCTCCTTGGTCTAGCGGTGACGCCAGCTTCTGGGAAGACGCCCCTTGCCAAGCGGACCGTAGTCTAGGGATAGCGTTAGTGTCAAGGAAAAACACCCGCTACTTAGTGGACCGGGAAAGGGAGTCTCCCTTTCCCTGGGGGAGTTTAGAGAAGACTCTACTCCTACACCTCTTGTGGAGGGCCTGACATTAGTCAGGCCCACCCACAGTTATCCAGAGGCCTAACCGTCTCCCTGTGATGCTGTGCTTCAGTGGTCACGCTCCTAGTCCGCCTTCACGTTCCATCCTGTACACCTGGCTCTGCCTTTTAGATAATAGTAGCAAAATTAGTGAAAGTACTAAAAGTCTCTGATATGCAAAAATAATGCTGTAAGCTGTTTCTCTCTCTCCCTCTCTCTCTCTGCCTTGGCTGCCAGGCAGGGAAGGGCCCCCTATCCAATGGACACGTGACCCACGTGACCTTACCTATCACTGGAGATGGCTCACACTCCTTATCCTGCCCCTTTGTCTTGTATCCAATAAATATCAGCGCAGCCTGGCATTCAGGGCCACTACCGGTCTCTGCGTCTTGGTGGTAGTGGTCCCCCGGGCCCAGTTGTCTTTTCTCTCTTTGTCTTGTGTCTTTATTTCTACGCTCTCTTGTCTCCACACACAGCGAAAAACCCATGGACCCTGTGGGGCTGGACCCTACACTAGGAAATTCTGGAAAAATAATTAGAAATAGTGATATTAAAGAAATTGTGAGGTAACACAGAATACAGATAAACAATAGAAAAACAATCAGGGAAACAGTTGATAATCTGAATGAGAAATTAAAAAACAAAATAGATATTATTTAAAAATAACTAAATAGAAATTCTAGAATTGAATGACTCATTGAATGAAATGAAAAATACAATCAAGATCTTCAACCACAGACTAGATCGGGGTGTCCAATCTTTTGCCCTGGTTTACACTGGAAGAAGAAGAATTGTCTTGGGCCACACATAAAATACACTAACTATAGCTAATGAGCTAAAAAAATGCAAAAAGTCTCATAATGTTTTAAGAAAGCTTACAAATTACTGTTGGGCCACATCCTAAGGCATCCAAGGCTGCATATGGCCCATGGGCTGCAAGTTGGACAAACTTGGACTAGCTTAAGCAGAAGAAAAAATTTCCAAACTTGAAGATAAGTCTTTTATGCTAACACTGACAAAAACAAAGAAAAAAAGGAATACATAAGAATAAAAAAAGCCAACAGGACATATGGGACACCATAAAGAGAACAAATATTTGAATTTTGAGAATTTTAGAAGGAGATGAGTTGGACAAAGGCATAGAAAACCTATTTAACAAAATTATAGCTTAAAACTTCCCAAGGCTTCCAAGAGACATAGACATCCATACATAAAAAGCTGAAGGATCCCCAAATAGACTCAACCCAAAAAGCCTTCTTCCAAGGGACACTATTGTCATACTGTCAAAAGTCAAAGACAAAGGGAGAACTGTATAAACAGAAAGAGAAAAAGGCATCAAGTCACATAAGGGTAGGAGAGACTGGGAGGATAAATTTAAGTACCAAAAGAAAAAAATTCTGCAGGTCAAGAATATTATATCCACAAGAAAAGTATGCCCACGTTCCTTACTCTTATTTAACATAGCATTGGAATTTTAGGTAGAGCAATTAGACAAGAACGAAAAATAAAAGCCATCAAGATTAGAAAAGAGGAAGTCAAATTGTCTCTGTTTGCAGGTGATATAATCCTATGTAGAGAAAAGCCTAAAGACTAGGCCAAAAGACACTTAGAATTGATTTAAAAAGTTCAGTAAAGCCCAGACACAAAATCAATATACAAAAATCAATAGTGTTTCTATATACCAACAACAAAGAAGCTGAAAAATTAATCAAGAAAATAATCCTATTCACAATAACTACAAAAATACCTAGGAATAAATTTAACAAAGGAGTTAAAAGACCTCTATAAGGGAAACAACAAAACACTGATGAAATAAATTGAAGGGGCCACAAGCAAATGAAAGGATACTCAATGCTCATGGATCAGAAGAATTAATATTTTTTAAATGAACACACTTCTAAAAGCAATCTACAAAGCCAATGCAATCTGTATCACAATACCAATGACATTCTTCACAGAACTAGAAAATAGCAATGCTACAATTTGTATGGAATCACAATACTCCAAATAACCAAAGCAATATTGAGCAAAAAGAACAAAGCTGGAAGCATCACACTCTTTGATGGGGGAGATGAAGAGAGTTGGCTAATATGTACAAACATATAATTAGATAGAAGACATAAGTTCTAGTCTTCAATAGCACAGTAGGGTGACTGTAGTTAACAACTTATTTTATATTTCATAAGAGCTAGAAGCAAAAACTGAAATGTTCCCAACACAAAAAAAATTTGAGGTGATAGATATCTTAAATACTTTCATTTGATCATTACACATTGTGTACATGTATTACGATATCAGAGATTTCCTGTTTGCTTTATAGTAATTCTGGAAATGTACTGTGGATTACTACACAAAAATGTACTATAAAAGGAAATGGAAAGACCAAATTAAAATACAAGTCAAATACAGCTACAAGATTCTAGGTGTCCATAAGCCTTCACATCTGGTGATCTTGCTAATGCAGGCCAAGTAAATATGGTCCTGCTGCTGTCACTGCCATTTTTATCATTTTGTTTGATAGAGGTGAGAAGGAGCCTCTATGGGTCAGTTCTCCCAGTTATTTGAGACTGTTCTTCACGTGGCCCATTACAGATTGATTTATTTCAGAAGTCAACATGGGAGAAGTGTGGTGATAAGAATGCAGATCAGAAGAAAAACACACAATCAAATTTGGTTAATAGATTTGGGGTGTTTATAAAACCAACTGTTTCCCCCTCATTTTGACTTGAAAGATACATATTTGGCCACCTTCAGAATATCAAACTCAGGTTTTACTTTTCTGAGAAACACAAAATATAACTTTAAGTCTGTTTGCTCATCAATTTAATGAGGAATTTGAGAAACCATGTAAATATTTCACATATAAAATTTAGAAAAACGATGTATTACCTCAATAGAAGGAATTTAAATATGATATAGGCACATCAAAGATAGAGAGAAAGTATTTCTCAAATACCAATTTACACCCTGACACTTATTCATAAAAAATAATACTTAGGTGCACTTAGATGAGACACAATACAAAGAAGTTAGGGGTAGAAGCAGCTAAAAATCACTGTAATGACATCCTTTAATAATCCCACACATACCATTCCTTAGTTGTAAAGCATACCTTTGTGAGGAGATTCAACTAAAAACACTTTGTTATCCCATGAAAGATGAAAGACTGTACTTTTACAAACTAAAGTGAGTTAAAATTGTAATATTTAGCCTGCAATTTTGCCACAAGAAATTACTAATTTTCAGCTTTGATCTTTCATTTATTTTGATGAAAAAATATGTTTATGATAGTTACTATCCAGCATTTATTAGTCAACTTATACTCATTAGGCAACCAATGAAGATTTAGAAGAAAATGAGAAGTTTCTGAAATAAAAGAGGAAGATATATGTGTAATTTTATAAAACTCTGGGGATATTTGCTTTCTTATAACTTTATGTATTTGGTAACATTATGAGTTGAAATATAAAAGTCTAAGTTTAATCAGTAACAATCATGCGGTGTTCTTTATTAGGTTAAAGAGTATAGCAAATTTAGTGGCATACTAATGTTACAGCATTTATCTTAATGTGAAATATTTACTCAATGATGTAGCACACAAAATATTATTACAAGTAAATACTTTAACATGAATAAATAGAAATAATGGTAATTGGTATTCATAAGTCAGTCTGCAGTCAGTACCAACTGACACACTTAAAGACTAATGAATGAAAAATTTGCTAATATGACCTTTCTGGATTTTATGATTACAGCAACAACATGGAAATCTTTAAGCCATTTACAAAGTAAATATTAGTAAATGATAAATACAATTATGTCAGTTAAATTTCAACAAAAACGGTAAATAAAAGACCGTGTGTCTATTTCCAAATTAAAAATGTGTTCCATTACCTTTTGATAGATGTTAGAATGATAGAAGCCATTAATTATGTAATCAGTGCTACAAATTGGCACAACTAGAAGCAAGATCTCTGGGACTCCCACTTTGGGACTCACGGATCACCAGCCAGAATGGGTCTCACATAGTGTCATCTGTCGTCAACATGATTTTAGATAAGACTGTAGACCGCCTATGGGAACATGACTTAGTTATTGGTTTCAGAAAAATTTTGTGCTGGAAAAATAAGACTAAACCAATAAATAACTTCACCTTTTGTTTCAAGACATTCTTATCAAGAAACAATTATTTGCTCAACTGGTCAAAATGAGTTTACTTATCAACAACCTTAATTATGCTCATTAATTATAAATTCTTATATCCCCATTTTTGTCCATTTTTAGTTCCCCAACCTAAAAGGCCCTCTTCTTTGATCATCTGAACCTTCCCTCCAGAGCCCGGTAAATATCTTATTTCTAACTTTCTCCTCTGTGACACTGCTTATATTCTGTCAATAAATGTGGTGTTTTTTATCCACTGTAGTGAGCTATAATAAACTTATTTTTGTTCATTATCAGACACAGATGTTTCAGTGACTTCTATATATAAATTTATAACTTGTTCAACTAAGGCTAGCATAAATCTTCAATGATATTTTCCTATTATTAAAGTATAATGAAATTACACATATGTGATACCATGGGGGGTTATTTCCCTGTTCTAGAAACAGGGTGACTAGGAAATAGCACATATATTTTCTAGTAGCATAAACTCAACCTTTATTTTTCTTTGTTCATAAAGATTATTGCTTAGAATTATAGAATGAATATGAAAGAACATTTTAAAAACAACTCTTCAGTCCTTTTGGCATCCCAGAAGCTTATTAGTTATAAATTTGCATACTCGAGATGACAGGCACCACAGATCATAACTTTTCACTTCCTGCTATTAATATTGATGGCCATGGTGAATTACTAGTTCATCAGAATTGATTTGACATAGTAAATTTTCATGTACAGTAGACTGTTTCACAAACCTGCATCAGAAGAAGGTCTTTGTTAAGATGTAGCATGGTTAGTACTCAAGAAGAACAATACAGTATATTTGTTAAACAATCTTTGTAGTCAGAAAGCCTAGGTTAAATTTGCTAACCTGAGAGGCTTTGGGTAATTTACTGAAACTTCAGTTTTCCTCAACTACCAAATGATATAGCATTTGTGTTGTTTCAGTGGTACTTTTCACTTATGTTCCTCTTTTTGGCTACAGTAAAGGAGAGGAAACACATCATTCAGGAAAATGGACAGCCACATTTTCTTTGAAGCTGAGCTGATTCTCCTGGGTCTCTTGGCCATGAGGCAATGGCCAACGGGAAATATAGGTGAGAAAACATAAATTTACAAATATCTTTCTGTTTTATTTTACATTATAATTAAGTCAGCAGAATACTATCAAGTTTGAATTACCAAAGATATTTTTGTGTTCACAAGTTCTTATAACTCTTTCCCAATGTCTCTCCTTAATTTGACAAGTTTTCTCATGTGGTATCATACACTGTATTTCTGCCTCATATTATACTCCACAAATAGGTTCTACTTCATAGTTTGCTCTGAATAGTAAATGAAAAGAAAAGGCCGGGCGCGGTGGCTCACGCCTGTAATCCCAGCACTTTGGGAGGCCGAGGCGGGCGGATCACAAGGTCAGGAGATCGAGACCATCCCGGCTAAAACGGTGAAACCCCGTCTCTACTAAAAATACAAAAAATTAGCCGGGCGTAGTGGCGGGCGCCTGTAGTCCCAGCTACTTGGGAGGCTGAGGCAGGAGAATGGCGTGAACCCGGGAGGCGGAGCTTGCAGTGAGCCGAGATCCCGCCACTGCACTCCAGCCTGGGCGACAGAGCGAGACTCCGTCTCAAAAAAAAAAAAAAAAAAAAAAAGAAAAGAAAAAATACCAAATACTTAACACAGTTCCTGGCACATAGAAAACACTTCATATCAGGTAAATATCATCATGATTGTGTCCTCGGCCCAATTCTTGCTCTATTAAAAAAGTCACTTAAACACCCAAAGCCTTAACTTCCTCTTTTTTAAAATGGTAAAAGGAATAAAAAAAAATCATTTAATTTGTATGATTGTTGTATTAAAACATTACTGTTGTGATGTTTTTTAAGAGACAAGCTCTCCATTGCCCAGGGGCTGGAGTGCAATAGCATGTTCATAGCTCACTGTAACCTCAAACTCCTGGGCTCAAGCTATCTTCCCACCTCAGCCTCCCAAGTAGCTAAGGCTACAGGTACATGCCAGCATGCTCAGTTATTTTTTTGAAATAACTTTTGTAGAAACCGTGTCTTGCTATGTTGTCTAAGCTGGTCTGAAACTACTGGCCTCGAGCGATCTTCCTCCCTTGGCCTCCCAAAGTGCTAGGATTACAGGTGTAAGCCACTGTTCCCAGGTTTGTTCTGACTTTTCTATTTTTAAAAAAAGAAAATCATTAGGCCATTCAGCCCAGGGAGCTTTTAATTAGCAATCCTGGACAACAATAGTTAATTCCTCCTCACTGCCATCTGTGCATGCTGCCCTCCTGTCCCTGGTGCCTTTACTTGTAGTTAACTATTCGCATGTCTGTCTTTATATTGCATGCTTCTATAGCATGAGTCACATTTCAGATGCTCCCTGAAGGTCTGCTACATTAACATGTGAATAAATAACATAAAAAGAAGTGATGTATTAATATTATTTTTTGAAGTAAGCTACCTGTTTCTCCACTTCCAGATTTAGAGAGCATAGAAAAAGCACTTTCAGAATGATAAAATAGTACAAACTCTCCCCAGAAGATCTCTGGGTATATCCAAGGTGATACAGTTAACTCTGTTGCAGAGTGAAAAAAATATAGAAAATATTTTTTTTCTTTTTCAAAAAGCCTCTATTAATTGAAAAAAGGTGATCATTTTGAATTTTTCTGGATCCTCACTGCTCTTTTCATCTCAGAAGTGCCAATTATGTTAGTCATTTGGCTCTATATTCATTATTATTGCCAAAGTGATACAAGCCAATGTCAATTTAAAATAATTTATTTCCTTCAAAGATATTTAAATATGTCATAAGGGAACACACAAGCATATTTTCTAACACTTGTATAAATTTTCTGATTTGTCAATAAAAAGTATACCTCAAGCTAAAAATTAATGAGCCCAAACATCTTACATAATACTGTGCAAATGACACTATTCAGTTTCTCATCGACTTGATGTTGTTTAGGGAAGTTATAGTTTTATGAAATGCACATGTTACATCTACCTAGTAGCCATATTTTACTATTATAAAATACAGAGGAATTCATTTAGTGGAATGTAGGAATATAATTCTCTAATATGACAAAAAGAAAGAAGATTATCTTCCCTGTCATTTTCAACCAATTTTCAAGAAAGTCCCCAACCAATGACTCACCAAGGCCCTCACACCAGCCCCCACAGTTTTTTCAATGTGAATTATGCTTTCCCTTCAAGGGTTCTACACGTCGTTTCTCTTCAGTGACTTTGTTTTTGATTCTTCAATGAAAAATAATGTTTTCTTCTCTTGCCACCACCTACAGATTTAATGCTGCACTTGCATCCTCTATTTTGCTAATACCAATACATATGTACTGTTTAACCTGTTGGAGAATAAGCTACTTGAGCATAGGGACATAACTCATATTTTATTTAAAATCCCCTCCCCATCACCTTGTAGTGTTATTTATTTTGGAAGCCTTAACTTTATATAATTTTATAATTAGAAGACAGCTTTTGATATACTCACTTCAAACTCATGTTTTGTGCTGTGGTCAGTAAATAATTTGCCCTCTGCCTCATCCTGTCTGACGTCTGATGTATAAATGGAATTGGAAGTATGCTTCCTTTTCTTTCCACATGGCCCGTTGCTGATCACCTCCTGACCCACGGCCACCCTTTTATTCACTGCTGTTGTGTCAAAGGAGATGTATCTTCAATCTTCTGCTTATAATTTATCCATACTTTTCACTAGAAATGATGGTAAACCATGGTATTATTCATAAGTGTTTTGGAAATGTTACAAGATAAATAGGGGCCAATGAGCCAGCTGAGAAACACTACTCTACTGAGATATTGCTTCAAAAGGAAACATGTGTTTCATGTTTAAAAATACGTGGTTTGAAAAAAAATCTTTCAAAATTAAAGCAATGCAGAACATCAAAAATATTTCAGAAAATATTTGTGTTGAAATCAGTACCCTCCTATTTGTTGGCTCAATGGGTCAAACAATCCATAGTCTTTCCATCTCAGTTTTGTTATCTGTAAAATAGACCTCTGATTTTTATTCCTGTCATTACCATTCATCTCACTCCCAGCAAAAGCACTATGTACCATTATTATGAACTTGCTGTTATGTGCTTGTGTGCATCCCTTCTACTTCTGTAGAAAGTTTTCCACCATTGTGTCCTTAATATACTGAGTTTTACATCAAAATTCAACACAGATACTGAATTTCTCTGTAAAACCCTACCATCTATTAAAAAAGGTGTTTAAGTGCTCTGATTAGCTATATTCTTATTACCTTTTGCATGCAATTTTATTAATATATTATGTTTTCAATCATATTTACTTTTAAAAATGCCTTTTCCCCCATTTGAATGTAAAATTTTAGGGGCTAGAACTGTGTTTTTATGTCTTTCCAGCTCAGAAACTTGAATAATGTACATAATAGATGCTTACTAAAATCAGTTGAATGGATGGAAAAAATAATTTAGACAATTTTAATATTTAAATGTTTTTAAATATTAAAATTATTTCTATATTTAAAAGCTCTGCAAAAGGAAATACATTATTGCCAGTATTTGTCATAATTTTTTCATAATATTAAATGATCCATTTGTCACTTCATTTTTTTAACTTCTATTTTTGTCTGTTACTTCTATTTGATGACTGATATAGTAAAAATATTAATAATACTAATATTTATATAGTCTACACTGTGTCAGATAATTCAAGTGCTTTATAAATATTATTTTATTTAATACCCATAATAATCTTATGAAGTAGGCAACATTACAATCCCAATTTAATATGGGTAAACTATGGCCTTGAGAATATATGTATTTTATCTGTTTAACTCTATTATTTAAAAATAATCTATAGTATAATAATAGTAATTGATTTTATCTTAATTTAAAAATAATTTTCTTATGAATTTATAAGGACAGAAAGGTATCAAAGTAATTTCATTGAAATAGTCTATTTTATTTTTTCAGGGTTTTAGATAAATAAAAGAATATACAGTTTATCCTCTTTATATGTAAACTAGCTGAAGGCAACCTTGTTAGATAGTAATGTAATTGTCAAGATAAGGTATTCCCAGAAGTTTATTCAATGTCATATATTGTGTAGAGAAATCACAATGTTTAACATTTTTCTTATACTATCAAAATCACCAATATAGTAAAAAATGTAATGAAAGTTAATCTTTAGGTAACGTGGTATAGTAAAAAGTGCTTTGAATTAATTATCAAGAGATTAGCATTACAGTTCTTTATGTCTTTCTAATAACATTATGGCTCTCATAAGCTGTTGTCTGAACTATGGCAAAAACCTGTTAACCAACCTCAAGACCCAGTCCTCTCCTAGGATTCTTCACACTGCAGAATTACTTTCCCCTTAACAGTTTTGATTACGTCACTTTACTGCTCCATGATATTGCCTGCTCCATAAAATTCAAACTATTTAGCAGAACATTCAAGACCTTTCAAAGAATGTCACTTTCTAATTTTGCCATTTACTTTACATTACTGCCCATTATTACCAACTCCCACCAATCTCTTACTGTAAATGCCAACTGCACTGGACAATTGACTCTTGTCTGTCACACTGGGCAATGCATCATTCCCTGAACTATAAATGCTTGGCTGTTTGTTTTAAATCCTTTTTTCTCCAAATATGAGGCCACTTTTTTTGTTCCTGAAGTTTAACCTTGCCTTAGTCTACAGTACTATTCCTATATTTAGAGATAATTTAAAGCATTTTAAACCAGAAGATTAAACTACTTCTCAACACTTTTAAACAGCTGTACTGACATGCTATTAGATACTGAATTATTTCTGTAGATGCTGAATTTATCAGGATAGGCTAGGTTAAACTGGAGTAGCAAAAAACACCCAAATCTGCATGGCATAATACAATAAAGTTTATTTTTTTCATTTTCTTATATTGCACAAAGTGAATGAACTGACTGTTGAGAGCCTTAGAGAGTTCTGAAAATATTGGAGCAACAACAATAAAAATAGAGCAAGTCTGTTGTCACCAAAGTGGGAGTTTGAAATGCAGCTTCCAAATGAGCATTCAGATTGGTGTGAAAATCAGTCTCATGAGTCCGTTGCTATGCCTCACATATACACATGCGGAAATCATGGGCAAGCTTTTTCAAGCGAGTAGTAATTGTTCTAACCCTATATAAAAATGTTATTTCATTCACTCTCTCCAGTTGTAGTGGTCTGCTAAATACCACTAGTAACTCATGTAATACTCATTGAAGATTTTTTGAAGTCTGATATCTTATACATGGAAGCTGGAAATTTTATTTCTTATGGGTGTGAACCATTCATATGTACACCTCCAGGAGTTATAGTAAATATCAATTCTTTATCTTTAAATTTGTCATTAAACAACTCTATTACCATATATTAGTCATACCAATGGATAGCTAATATGATTTAAAAGATGTGCTACCAAATTTTATCTCAACTTGCAAACAATTTAATTGTGGATATTCTTGTAAACTTTAAAATATATTTTCCCCACAGTAATTCTCATCCTTAAAAATGGGAAGAGTGAAGAAAAAGTTAATCTTTGTGCGATGTTAGAGTTCAGCTAACGTTGATAAGACTAAATGAAAGTTTGCAGCCTAAGGGGTGACAAAACATAAAATATATTCCAGAATTAAGCATTGATTAGTAAGAAGCAAACTAAAATGTGCAGATTAAATGTCAGATATTGAAATTCTCTGCTGTTTCATTATTGTTGATAGCAGTAAACGTTATAAATCTCAAATTTACCAGGCAGAATGTCATGTAATTTGTCAAATGCAGTTTAGCTAAAATGAGGTTTGTCGCTTACACAATCAACTTGTTAATTTGGCTGGCACTTATTCTACTGCTGTTACATAAATTCTCAACTATAAGCTACAACATACATTTTAATTTGCTGGACATCAGGTTAAACAAAAAAATATGTATTCATTCAAGTTATGTTGTAGTTACACTGATTATTGTCATCAGACTTTTCCAAGACTTTTTTTTCAGGTATTGATTCAAATTAAAGTCAGAATATACCACATTTTCACAAATAACCTTGATGTCTATTATCCTTTACTCTTTTCACAATTATAGTTTTTGAAAAAGTCCAATATTTCAGGTGAACAGTTTTCCTTAAATATGACTTATTTTGGTTCTGAATGTATTTAATGTGCTGTTTATTTTTGCCATTATTATAAAAAGCCACTGAAAACTCACAGCTTTCTCTTTATTCAGAATGCAAACAGCCAAAAAATCATATATATGATATATATATGATTACATATAATCATATGTGTTTGTATATATACATCTCTTATGTGTATGGTGTGTGTGTGTATATATATATATATATATATATAATTAGAGAGCATAGAAAAAGCATTTTCAGAATGATAAAATAGTACAAACTCTTCCCAGAATATCTCTGGGTGTATCCAAGGTGATACAGTTAACTCTGTTGCAGAGTGAAAAAAATACAGAATTTTTTTTTCTTTTTCAAAAAGCCTCTATTAATTGAAGAAAGGTGATCATTTTGAATTTCTCTGAAATTCAAAGCAAAAAAAATTATTTTTGTTTTCTCACACACACACATACACATATATACATACTTAAAGAAAACCTCTTTTAGAGATTAATACGAAATTTAGTATAAATTCAGCTCGAATTCATGTCATAGAATGTTAGTCCTGAAACAAACTCAGAGAACATATTTAAATTTCTCATCTTCAAAGAGAAAACGGCCTGAGAGGCCTGAATTAATGTGATCAAAGAATCTCGGTGTTACATAGAAGATCAAAATAAGAACCCAGATCTACTCAAGCCAAGTGTTCATTCCAGTGTATCTTCAGTGTATGAGCTCAAAATTCCAAGCTATTTTAAAATACCTACTTTGTGCAAATAAAAGTTAGACAAAGTGCTTAATATCTGTTCTCTATATTTAAGGATTTAAGTGTGATTTAATGTTTTATTAGTCAGGACATTTCAGCTACTAATACCAAAAAAGAAACTCAAACAGCATGTTAAAAGTAAGTTAATGCATATATTCACCTGGGACAACGGAGGTGAGGTGAGCTCAGGTTTGGTTAACTCAGCCCTATTCTAATGTTACCAAGTCTCTTTCCATAGCACATTTATCCTGAGGTTAACTCAATCAGTGACTGCTAGAAACAATCAGAATTATATTTTTTAGCTCTTACTCAATGAAACAAAAAATAAATTGCTTTTTTTCTTAGAAGGTACTAGCAATGGGGATTTTTCTACTTCATTGGTCTAAGGTAACTTAGCCTGTCCATTCCTGATCCACTCACTTACAAGGGGAATAGGGTCAATATTTTGGCTTATGCAGCCACTGGGGAGTGGATGTTGGGGACTCAAATGTCCATTATCTATATATCAGTTTATTTATAATTAGGTAGCATTGGCCACCATATATGATTCATTTCAAAATACTTTGCCTATATATGTGTAAGTTAGCCAGGGATTTAACTTTTTAAGAAGATAGCTTATTTTTTTCAAATATGGCTCTGCCATTTTTATTGATATGACAAAAGTACTTAAGTTCTATGTGCCTCAGTTTACTCATCAGTTTAATGGACATAGTAGTTTCTATCTCACAGATTTTTGAAGAAAGAATGAATACAGTAAATAGCTTACAATGTTGTATGACATATAGCAAATGTTTTATCAGTGTAATGTAGAACGATTATTGTATTATGGTTGTTGATATTGTTATCATTGTCTTATTATTGATATGACAACACAGAAATTGTATTTTAGCACAAAGATTTAAGAAAAATTCTTTTTGCTTACAATTTGCATCTGGTGGGAACTAACATCTTACAAAAAGTGTTGCAAACAGTAGCTAACAATTTTTTTACCTGCAGATGACTAAGTATATTTTTTCTATGTTACTTCCTCAATGAACTTCTTGCTACTTCCTCAAATAAAGTATTTTCATAGGTTCCAAATTAGAAATAAAAGCCATAGCAGTGGCAGCGTCCACTGACCTCCTTTATTAAACAGTGAGTGGGATCACTGAACTATTCTATCAACAAATTTATCAAGATCTACTCTGTTGGCCACTAGAGCTGACCTGAATATGATCAAGTTATGTTTCCTGTGTCTAGGACAGAGAATAACAATTTTTTTTTCTGCAAAGGGCCAGATAGTAAATATTTCAGGCTTTGTGGGTTATGGGGTTCTAACACAAATATTAAGCTCTACCTCTATAGTGTGAAAAGCCATGGACAATATGTAAATATAATAAATAGGCATAACCATGTTCCAATAAAATTTTACTTACCAAAAAGTATGTGGAACGTTCTATGAAATGAGGGTAAGACTTCCCTGCTGTCTCCCCTTCAAGGAGTAAAACACTTAAACCCTATGGTTAAACAAAAATGTGGCTGAGGATATCAGGTCAAGAGTATTAAAAACTGGGAAACGTTGGAGGTGCTGAAGAATTCTACATTCCCAACATCAGTGGCTTCTTTCATGTGAAAGGAGTTCTTTTAAATTCTTCCTTAGCTCAAGCTTCTCTCTCACTTCTCACTAGGGAAGAGGAAATTATTTAACTGATTTGTAATTTCAGAATTAGAATACACCTCCTTTTCCTACCTCCTTCTCTCTGGTGACCCCCAGGAATTAAATTACTCTCTGCTTCTTCATAGTTTTGAAGAGGCAGGCTCTGTTTCTGAATAGGGAAGCCTGCCCCAATCTAGTGCCAATAACCAGGTAAGTCTGATTCCCTGAATAGATATTTAGCAAGTCACTTGCCCTCAGATGCAAGCTACATTCTAGTGTTAGCTTCATTAATAATAAAGGTGATATTTTGATCTCTCATATTTCTAAGCCATAAATCACTACTTATCTATGATTTATTTTATTTCAGACTTTAATAGGGAAGGGAGGTGCTGTTTATTGTGTGCTTTCTAAAATTCTAACATGTATTGTCTTATTCATGACACATAGACATAGATTACAATTTTTCAGAGGCTTTTTACGAACTCAGCTAGTGTTTGCAACACTTTTGTAGGTGGGCATTAAGTTTTAATATGGGGAAAATAACTTTGATCTTGGCAGTCGGCAGAGGCTAAATTGAGCAATTAGATGTTCTTCAATTGACTTTTTAAATGTGTCTTTAGACTGAGTGAAAATCACACAGGATTTTCAGCATGTTAGGACACATCAGTTTATGGTGTTCCTGTTTATAGATAGGCCACCTTCCTGTGTATCTTAAGGGAGTGGCATGAAGGCCTTACCTACTTTAAGCAAAAGAGATTGCCTCTAATTTCAGTCAGACCATGAATACCTTCACCCAATACTGGCTGTGTACAAGCCTACTAAACAAAGTCAGATTATGTTGATTCAGCAAAGTTATGGGGTTCTGCAGAGACTGCACCTCAGCAAAGGGCATAAGAGCAAAAAAAAAAAAGTAGCTGTTGCAAGCTTTAGTAAAAATGCTGCTCATGCATGTCAGAAAGCACAATCATGGGCTTGCAAGTTTGAATGAAGGGCCCACTCCAACGCTTTAACTGGCTTGGTTGGCCTTAGGTATAGGCAGCTATGGCTTGACATTGAACTACTTAGGTTTTTCTTACACAGTCATGGCTGAGGCTAACATATGATATAGGAAAAGGATGGTATTCATACTGGCATTAAGCATTTGTGAGTAGCATAACATTTGTTACTTTAAATTATAAGATGAATTATTCCTGTGGATGCTCTAGTTAAGATTTACTTTTAAATCATCTGTGCTTAGACCAAGGCAGTGTTATATTAAGTACCCCAAATTCCAGTGGGTACTTAGGACCGAGGAAAATTCAAATCCTTGTCCTCAGGATTAAGGGCCATAAAACTCTCCAGAGACTAAATGAGTTGCAAAGATAACAAAGGTAAGAAATACAACACATCTTCAAGGACATTTACGGAATTAGGGCTCTGAGGAAAGGAAAGAGAGCCAGGCAAGACAAGCCAAGGCCTGGCCTGAGTTAAATGCTATTCTAATAAGAGGTATCCACTAGATATGATTTTCAAACAAAAATGTGAAGGGAATAAATACTTGATTGAACAGTAGATGCTTGTGTCAGACTCAGAGCTTACTGATTTAGGAATATGAAAGAAAAAACAAATATTTGGGCCACAAAGTGGCCCCCAAAAAAGGAAAGAAAGGGTTGAGACCAAGGAAAGAAAGTGCTGCCTCTACTGTGTTAGAAATAAGGGTCCAGCTTAAGGAGCAGGTTAAATTGCTAAGCACTTGCTGAATTGGCCTGTAGGAAGGAAGAGAAGAACAGGGAAATGTTAGAGAACCCTTTAGGATTAAGAAAAGACAATGTATTTAGTAGCCCATGACAGAAGATTGGGTTTTCTCTAAGCCATTAGGAGGCCAAAACTTGAAAAACAACAGAAGCTTCAGTTTAAGACTGCATTGAGGATAATTCTCCAACTGAAAGAAACCTAAGGATGTTAAGAGAAGTTTCCATAGGCAGTATGTGACAGTGGACTGACTATGTATTTATTTATGTTTTTGCTCAATAGGCAACAACTCCTTGTTTAACTATTCATTGATCCAAACCAAGGTGGTGAAAAAATCACTGTTCAGTGTGTCTTTTCCCTTTCCAAACCTAACACCCACTCAATGTCCTGATTACTAGGCTCTAGCAGAAATCCAGAGAACATTTCCTAGTTTTCTATAATCATTTCACTTAGAAAATCCTCTCAATGATTATAGAAGATTAGTTCTGAGCCCCAAGATTGCTAACCACCAAATGAAGCATGTCATATACTCAGTTGAGGATGCTATTAGTAAATTCCTCCAAAATAAAGCACTTCAGATGGACTGAATTTCATATAATGAATCCAAAGGCAAATATGTATTAATTATTGGGCCTAAGGGTTATTGAAGTAGACTAGTGCCAATGTTTACTATTCATTAATTTATTAGTCAACAAATATTCATATTTCTATATTATGATTATATAAATACTGAGGATTTATATTTAAAGATAATAGCAGACTCAGAAAGAACCCAAGAGAAAATAGACAAAGGAAATTATATGCTGGTTTTAAAGAAGTAATAGCTATTTAAAAAGTATTGTTTTTCCACTGTAACCTTTTATTGTAATCAAATGTGATTAAACCTAGTTACAGAGAATCTCAAAATTCTGTGAATACAGGGTTTGTAATATTAGAAATAAAAAGGTTAAATACTTAATTCCTGGGACTTAGACTGTTTTGTGACATGGAAAGTTATGCTTAAATTGGCTCAAAGTAAAGCGAGAATACAGTTATTTCTGTGGCTTTGCAAAATGACATATCACAATCAATTCCATAATATTTTAGTTTTAAAAAATATCCTCTGTGAGAAACAAAGTATCTTACAGTATCTTGCATTGTCTTACAACTCGCTCCAGAGTATCTGTCAGATAACAAGAGATCAACAGCTATGATGCACCAACAAAATCCAAAAGAATTCAAGGGATTTTGAATAATAGGTTATTTTTAAAGAGGTAGCATTTTGTTAGTTTTACAATCATCATGGTGTATATAACTCATTGTCAAATTATTGATTTAACATATTTACTGCTAAGTAGACACGGGCACAATTATTACAGTTGATGAATTGCTTGCACATTGGCAGAGCAGCAGGCATGCGGTCTGTATGTTAAAAATATAAACTTCAATTAGAAGCTATCCCTGGATCTGTTTCTAAGGAAAACTATCCATGTGTTCCACATGATCAATTCTGGAATAAACCAAAAGTCAACGTAGAATAATATAGAATCATGAATCCCCAAGGAACCCTAAAGGGTCATCTAATTCAGCCTGTGGCTGCCTTCACATAAATCATCCAGGCTTAATGAACTTTGGAAGGCTTTTAAGAGAGATAACTAGGGAAGGAGGTGACCATATTCCTAGAAGTGGAATCTTCTCCTGCAAAGAGCCTACAGCCATTCTGTTACAATTTACACTAATTTATTATTTTTTACAGTTAATACACTAGAAAATACAGGTCACTATAATAAATGACATAGCTAGGATAATTATTCTAGTTCAGAATTTCAGAATATTGGTCCAAGCTTTTTTCCTCATACACCATCATTATAGTACAGGTAAAAAGGAATGCAAAGATAAGGTTTTCTAAACATTGGCTCATTAAAAAAATCATTTAGCATTTGTGTGTAAACTGATCTATAGAGATTTATTGGCACTTAATCAAGAGAGACAGTTTGGAGTGCTTTTTCATGCTAAGCAGACATAACATTTTTGAAGAAAATCTTAGAAAGAGAGAATCTTATTACAGCCGCCACTTTATATGACAGTTTATTATTGCCAAAATGTTTGTTAATGTATAAACTGCTTATACATTATTCTTAACCTGAAATCATATAGAGAGAGCAAAAAGAGAAAGAAACAAAAAACAGCTGAAAAATGGTAATGATATATGCACTTTTCAGAAATATAATACCATAGAAAACTAAAACCATATCTAATCTATTTAGGTCATTTCCTTAGTACAGCAACAATAAAATAAGCATAATTGGGAATTAATATCCATTTAAAATGTATATTAAAATATTGCTTATGTCCTAACAAAATTATCAGTGAAGTGTCAATATAAATATTTTAGAACTAAAAGAAGATAAAAAGCTGATATTAATCCTTATCTTTTTTCATTTATTTTAAAACTATAAGGATATATTAAATGTGGGATACTATCAATAATTTCACAGTTTTATAATTTTTATGTGTACTTTCTAGTGAGTATTTACATATGTTATTTTTTAAACTGTACAATATGCCTCTGTACTAGATTGTAAAGGTGTACCTACAGCATAATATTTTTTAATTTATATCAATACCTATTATTTGAGTATTTACTATGTGTTAGTGCTAGAAGTCAAAACCAATAGAAATATAAAAGTAGTTCTAGGCCTCAAGGGATATGAACAATTAGTCATACCTTTGTTTTTCTAGAATAAATTTTACAGAACTTAAATCTAATGTAATATATGAACCCAGATCCCAGTTGAACAAAATGTCTCAAACCACTGGATGGCAACATGAGATTTTCTACATTTAATTACCTATGTTATCTGTAAGTTCAACCCAATTATTTGTATAGTTCATACTTGATTAAATTTGGTTTTAAATACATGAAACTGTTAAGTTGTTTTGACCTATTTTCAAAAAAGGATGGAAGATTTTTAGGTAATACAATTTAAAAAAATAATCTCTTCTGATAATTCAATATTAATAAATTCACCAGAAGAATTTTCAAATACCCTTAATTTGGCCAAATTCTAAGCTAGAAGTAGGAAGTCAAGCAAATATAATAGCAAGTATAATTGCTTGGCTCAGCCAAACTTGGACTTCAGAATCACTCCAGATATAACAATCATACAATTGCATGCTCACTGGCAGATTCTCTCCTTTTACCTGGAAAGTGCTCATAAAATCAAAAAGAGATGTAATTGTTTACAAAGTGCTATTGTGGTTGGCACCATGGGACACCCAGTTTACTGTGTTGTAATAGACTATTGTTAAAATGAAATTAAACAGATGAGTATTCACTATTTATTATTTATAAGACACTCTGCCATATGCAAATGCAAATAGATAATTGGCCAAGAAATTATTTCAAAACAAAGTCTGGGAAAATTCTCATGTATAAATAACTTTAGAACAAAGAAGACTAACTATGTTTATAATAAAAATAAAATAGAGTACACATGAATTAATTAAAACAAATTATCTGCTTAAATATTCTTCAGTGAAAAGTAAACGTAGCAGAGGCAACATGTAGATAGCATGCTAAAGTTACAAGACTTTGTCATCGTATCCATGGAAAAGTATATAGGCTTTGGAAATATGCTTCTAATATTCAACCTTTCTGTGCTTCTTTGTAATAGGAGAATAAAATCCAGAGTTGTTAGGAGAAGTAACAAGTTAATACTCGTAAAGTGATTTGTATGGTGCCAGGCACATAGTAAACCTTTAGGAATTATTTGATATTATTTAATCTATTTCTATATGATCTGATACTTTGTTTCTTACTTAGCACAGTAGAGCACATTTTTCATTATGTTATGGTAATGCTTTAGTTGGAGAAGAATGATGAAAAAATGCTGTCTCATAGAAAGACAAAAGAACTATGAAGAACCCAGCTTTCTGTTCTTTAGTTTTCAGTGCTCACATACTGCTTTTTTATGGAGAGATTTATTAGAGATTAGAGAACTTGCAATGTAAGAAAATATGTTCACAGGTTTTACTGAAATTTATAATATATCATTGTACATAGACCATAGAAATATAAAATCTAACTTCAAAATACTTTTTGCTAAGTGGATTTTAACTGTGGTTAAGGGGCTTTCAAATTCAAATTTGTAAAACACTAGTCTCTAGTGGTCAGACAATTGAGCTTTTCTTTTTTGTATACACATGTGTACTTGTGGTGTGTTAAGTGTACATATCAATATGCATAATATTTTCACGATGTAAATAAATCCATTTACTAGTTATTCAAAATAGAAAAAAGTATGCCAATATTGGAAATATAAAAATTTACTATAGATTTTATATTAAAATATCAATATAAATATTTTAATTAATATAAAAATTTTAATATAAAAATATTTTATGTTAAAATATTAAATTTTAATATAAAATATTCAGTTTTAATATAAAATCTACTAATTTCTTATTTTTGTTTTAGGTACTTGTTAATGCAATGTTTCTTCTATCAGCTTAGACTGATAGAATATTGACATTAGATAAATTGAAATTCTGATTTTTTTAAAATAACGTACTTCATCAAAAGGCATAACATGAACCATTTGTTTCCTCATTAAAATGTTAAGGAGTTGGCATCTAACATTACATATTTTTATATACTTCTGGTTACATATTGTGGAGCCCTTTACAAAGGTTGTCTTCTTTCTGAATTCATGATTAATCTTTAGAGGACACATGCTTCATGAAGAGGCCTCACAAATGAATAACGTAATGATAGTGACTCAAGCACACTTTGGCACAGTCTGAAAAGGCAGTCACCCAGCAAAGCAATTAATGTCAGAACTAATTTAGTTCTCAGCGAATTTTATTAATGATTAGAATGTTTATTCATTTAAAAAACTCTGTCTCTCTATAGCATGAATTGAAACTGTGAATTAAGAAGTGAACAATAGGTATCCTTCCTTTTCATGAAAGTGGAAATCTAGGGTTCAGACCGAATTGCAATGTAGGGAACCTGGGCCATATAAGACTATTGCCCCGAATAACAATATAATACACTAAAACTGAAAATGAATGGTCAACAGTTAATAAATATTGAGCATCTACCATATACCAAGCACAATACCATATGTTTTATAAGATTTCCTCAAGTAAAATATTTTCTTTTAGTGACTAGTTATAAAATATGTCATGGTAGTTAAAAGATAGAAGGTAATGTCTAACTGTTTAATTTTGTCATACAAATCAATATTTTACAATACACATTAAAAGCAATTTTTATCATCAATAACAGAGGCAAACTCTTATAACTCAGAGTCCAAATATTTATGCTTTTAATTTATTTGTAATTAATGATGACAGAAACCTCTGGTTTGTGGTATGTGTATCTCTCCAGCATTCAAATTAAGATGTGAATGCTTCAAGTCAGATTACAAGGAATAATAATATAAGGCCTTTTAAAATTCAACGCAGTGCAATAAAATGTGTAGTATTACAAGAAATGAAGTAACTAGACAGACGAAAGATTCATAAATATTGAAAAAGCAAAGGAACTTTTTAAATTTTTTTCAGTATATTAATGACTAAAATGTTGGGAACTGAGATTAGCATTAACCACAGACAAATGGACAGTGCTTGGAAGAATAAAAATGTATTTTAAAACTTCTATATAAAGCATCAGTTTTTACTATGCATAAAACCACACTTTTTTGTTTTAATCATGCATATTATGTGGTAGAACTATTAAAAGAGAGGAAACCTTTAAATACATCAACACCACAGACACTAAAATCAACAGAAAATTTTAAGTTTTAAAAATTGCACAAAGTCTACAGAAACCCAGTAATTTATCCTACCAATGAACTAATTATTTATTAGGTTGAAATGACCAACATTAACTAATATTTGGAGGAAAAGGATGGGGTGGATAATAATAAGAAGAAGAATATCATCCAATATGAAGAGCTTTTAATGGGATCTATGTAATTGTTTGGAGACAACTATATCCACAAGCTTATAAAGCAATTTAAATGTTAAACCTAAATTTAGAAAAAATATTATGTTTGCACATAAAGCTTTGTTACCCTAAAATGAAAAGTAACAAAATAAACCACAACTCCTTATTTAACTATGGAATATTTCTGACCATCTTATCTTAGAAAAAAAAATCTTTAAACTCCTCAAAATATATATTTACTTGATAGAAATTAGATTTTTCAAATTATTATCTCCTTGAGTATCAGGCAAGTTTCAATTCTAATAGACATTTTCAAATTTTCAGAAATATTTTTACTGAACCCAGAGAATACTAAGAAAATATTTGAAATTTTTATTTAAACTTTATGCAAATAATAGCTAACAAAAAATATTTATTTACATTTCTTTGTGCCAGTACTGGTCTAGACACTTTTTACGGTCTCAACTTTAACGGCTAATGTAATATTCATAAACTATCTTATAAAATAAGTACCATTATCCTCTCTTTGCAGATGAGTAAACTGAGGCACAGAGAGTGCTAAAATATATTGCCTGAGATAACACATATAGTGTTTCAAAGACATAACTCACAAGCAGAGCTTATACCCTTAAACTCTTATAAGCTATGTTATAAAGGTGACTTTGTACTGCAGGTTTCTTATAAAAGTAAATTATTCTTCTCTCTGTTAATGTCATAATGCAAGAAAATAAGATAAACATTAATAATCATTAAGCATACACTTAAATAGCATGTGCTATTCCTTGTTCTAAACACTTTACATATATTAATCCCTTTAATGCCAAGAGATTTTAATCATAGAACTTCAAGCCTGGAATGTACAGCACCCTTATTTTATGAGAATGCTATAGCCAAGAGAAAACAAGCAACACCCAGAAAATTGTTAACTTTGACAATTGAAGAAATTTGAAGTAATTTTTGTATTACTTATTGTACTATGCATATAACCTATATCTTTTTTCAATAATAAATCAATTTATTAGTTACATAAAAGAGTATGTAATTGCTACATCAGAAATGAGAAAGTGGGAAATGTGAAAGGTAAATTGTCAAAAGTTCATAAATATAATTAAATAGGATCAATGTCTGAAGTCCATGTATTCATAACCAAATTCTAATGATTTCTGCTGAGTATTATTCAATACTTAACATACATTTGTAGACATTTTTGTTTCACAGTCATTTTTAAGAACGTGTTGTATGTCTAAAACTATGCTAGGCAATTTTGACACAGATTAAAATATGCCCCTTTGCTTACATATGGAGCCATCTGAAGTCCCAGTTCATGCTGGTCCTGTTTTTTTGTTGTTGTTGTTGTTGTTGTTTTCTATTTAGCCTTTGTCTTGAATGAGAGTGTCCTAATTTGGATGTTGCCCCCACACACACCAAAAGATTCTGGATTTTAGTCATGACGAAGACAAGGAATTATGTAATTAACCTTCTTAAATATTAGTTTGAAGAATATACAAGATGCTGGGTGTGTGGAGAAGAACAATTAACTCTACCCAGGGAGTTACTTCGGAGATCTACAGCTGGAATGGAGGATTAAAAATGGAATGGGAATCCATCAGGTGGTTAAAGTGATGATAGACATGAGGAAGTAATGTAGAGAGAAGCAAATAAATTAGTACAGATAGCATTTAGCAGAGATACAGTAAAAGGAGAGACTAGTCTGGGTCAAACTGAATGTTTCAGTCAGTGCCTTCTCTGCTTTAAGCACAGTTCTAGAGGCTAAAGATACAATGGTGAAATGGAGAGAATTTCTTCTTCCTTCTGCTAATGTCATAATGCAAGTAAATTCGAAAGCATTGAAAGGAGACTGAACACAAAATATGAATAAACTAGAATAGAACACCTGGAGCAATCTTAAGTTGTAATTCCTATTAAAAATATTTTGCCATGTTAATTCATCTATGTCTAGAGAAATAACTGGAGCATTGAGGAAAAAAAGTAGGAGAGGCATTTCTTTCTTTTCATTTATAATTTTTATTTCTGATTCAGAAGCCTTTATTATCTAATAATAAACAGCTAATAAAGTAGCAAACTACAGCAGACATGACTCTAAACAAGAAGGAATATAAAAACCAAATAGCAGAGCTGCAAATCAAAATGATTAAATATAAGAAATCATCTAGCAAGACTTTCCAGAGCCCATAAAAAGGGAAAATCTGCTCACATCTAGAAAAGGGAGGCAGGATTATAAATAAGAACAGGCAAAAGCCAAACTATTGACTAAATTGCAAGTAAACAAAAAGAAACAGTCACTTTATGATAGAAATGTAGAACATTTGGCTAAATGGAACAATGAATGCTTCGTTAAAAGGAAATGTTATTAAGTACTTTACATATAGATGATCAATTTTCAGAATTTTTCTAACCTCCTGCAGTCTTTCTATATCAGTAGGTCCCCTTCAGTTTCTAAGAATGTTCTCCTCCCTTTTGTAAAATGATTTACAAGGCCAAGTTCTGTATTCCATTGTATTCTTTTTTTTTAATTATACTTTAAGTTCTAGCGTACATGTGCACAACGTGCAGGTTTGTTACACATGTATACATGCGCCTATCTTAACTGAGTTAGTTCTCAACATTCAGACTGGACTCAACATCACAACATGGGTGACTGGAATAACTCCCCTTCTCCTTACACTTAAGTTTACTATTTCTCCTCAATTAAGAACTGCCAAGAGGTACTGGGATGAAAGTAGATTTTTCCTTCTTTTCAGAACCATCTTCTCCCCAATACATGGGTCCCATACTTGGGACCAGGATATACAGGAACTCCAATTGTCAAAGGGACTAAGGGGTCCTGAAGGAAGGTATTATTTCAGCTTATTTTGTGAGCTGCATGGCCAACAGTATCTTCACTAGAACATAGTAGAGTTGGATAATTGTCTTATTCACACAGTGCTAGAAAAACTCACATCACAAGGATGATTTCCTGCATTATATGTGTAAAATTCAACTTCTGAACTGAATATATTTCTGTCCATGCTATCCTCATTGTCTCAAGAGGGGAAATTGCCTCTCATCTGGTCTCTTGGGTCTGATTTCATTTATCCTCAAACCATTCTCCACAGAGCAGCTAAAGTTATTTTTAATGCAATCTGATTATGGCACTTGGATTATTAAAATTTAATGAGTTCATTACTTTCTATAGAATAAAGTCCAAATACCTTAGATATATTCTCAGACTTTCACCACCTACTTTCTCTGAGGCATCTTTCCTGATTTTCCAGGCAAAATGTATTGCACCCAGGACTGTACCCTTCATATACTGTGTACAGTTGTTTGTTTCTCTCACTATTCTTTATTTCTGCCATTCTACAAGTTCCTAATATCTACTCCTTTCTCTCACACTTAGCACGTAATGACATCCAAATAAACTGTTATTAGTTCAATGGATTAATGAGTGAGTGAGTGAGTAAATGCACACACCTGTCTCGGACAATGGCTTGGTTCTGCATGGAACTTTTGGTCTTTTCATATTTGTAGTTCCACTTGGTGTAACAGTGGATTGAAAAAACCACTACTCTTAACATTGGAATATGTGACCTTAAATTCTGGTACCATTTTATACCTCATGAATGTTATATTCTTTGGCTTCTCTGGGCCCATTTTCCAGTCTATGAAATACAGTTTCTTACAGAAGAGTTATAAGCATCAAATATGATTAATGTATGCAGAAGCTTCTCAATAGCTTAGGTAAATGTGTAAATATCTAAGGTACCACTGTTAATTGTTATAAATATCTATATGATAATACAATAATCACCACTATTGATTATTATAAATAGGTACCACTCTTGATTATTCTGTTACTACTTAAAAACTGATAAATTCCTGTGATTTATAATTACTGTGATATGTAAGATTATTATTATCACATGTAAGGTAGCAGAAGTAGCCAAGCCTACTTCTCTCAGTAGACTGAATAAATGTTTATATTATTTTAATGCTAAGATAATAAAGAACAGATTGCCCTACTCACCCTGGTTGGGGCTAGAGTTGGCCATATGTGATACATACATGTTGGTGGGAATGTAATATCCATGGATATTACTACATACATGTTGGTGGGAATGTAATATCCATGGAGCCAGGAGTCAGGTCAGACAACAACTCGGCAACTAGCTTCTTGTTATATACGCTTTTTAGTCACATATCCTAAAGTCATATCCTAAGTGAGGATCTCAACTTGGACTTGGAAGATGACAATAACTTGGAATCACCTGTCCTTCAATAGCCAGGAAAGTTGGTTCTTGAATTAGGGCTTAAAGAATCAAAATGATTTGGATAGAATGAAATGGAAGCTAAAGGGCATTCCAGACCAGAATAACTCTTAAATGAGTGAGACCAATAGAAAAAAACTTAATGAGAAATCGAGCAAATTAGACGTGTGCTGTGCTTGGTGGCTTCAGCATTCCTTTCTTACTTTGTGTAACTGATGGCTTTTGTTGTGGAAACAGTGTAACAGATGGAGTCAATTTGAACAAATCAAAATGAGCAATGTAGACAAGACATAGAGTAAGACGTTAAACCTTTTATTTCCCTTAACTATCTTTTGTTATTTGTATTTTTCTTTTTATTTTGTATGCTATGAATCACTAATGATTCTCTAGTTTTAATTAATAAACAATTCTAAATACATCTGTCATTTCAATGAACTTAATTAAATTTCCATTGGAAGATTTAATAATATATTTTCTGAGTATTAAATGATATCAGATTTTTATTTTCTCTTCAATCATTGTTTTGAAAACATATTACCCTGAAAAACACATACAAAAGTGCTGTATTTTAAAAATTTACTCTTCTTAACATATTTTTCCTACTAGAAGAGGCAACATTTACTTTCATTATTTAATATGAATTCATGTACTCATTTATTTAACACTCATTTTAATCAAGATATGCAAAGGTGAGTAAAATATGGGCTTTGAGGCTAGGGTGTCCACAGCTAGGAAAATATATATTATTTAAATAAAGAGGAAATTTCTGATTAATTCTTTGCTTTCTTAACCTGATACCATGGAATATTTATAAATACTGAATATTAAGTAGGAAACTTTGATTTGCTTAATATTGAGAAAGTAGCACAATTAGCAAGTTATCTCTTTTGAATTAAAAATTACAACTGGATTATAGTTTAGTGATGAAAAATCCAACAAAACTACCATGTTTCTCTTGACTTTCATTTAGTTGTCTGAAATGAATAGTGGCCTTGCTTGTTTATACTGTAAACCTAGTAGTTAATTTTTAAGGCACAAGGGCTCTGACTTAATTTTCTTTGCTTCATTCCACTGATAAGAAGAATGTCTCTGTGTCAAAGTCATTTTATATTTTTTATTGTCATTGTCTCATTCTATTATATAAGCAGATATTAATTCTAAGTATATCTTTCTTCTTAAGTAGAGTTCAGTCTTGTTTCTGCCTCCACTTTGCCATCCATTACATATTTTCTTTTGGTATTATCTTTGAAAATTATTCAGAAACCATTTTAGATATCTATTATTCTTTTTGTTACTGTTTTGAGATAAATTATAATGTTAAATGTTATAATTATAAGCTTTCATGTCAAACACATTCTTTAAACTTTGCGGATGCTAATCATTTTCTTTTAAAATTATGCCACATGATTATTAGTTTCAAATTTTTAGTTTCAAAAGCAACAAGTTTATATTTTTGTCTTGGATTGGATTCTCTATTTTACAAATTATAAAGTTGTCCACATAATTTAGTTGTCTCCTGTTTGTTGTATATTGTAAAGGATTTATGCCATAGTATAAAAATAATGAATTATGGAAGTGAATTATTTTATTATCCTAATATTGTGATTTTATCATTCTTCTTCACTTCCACTAAATTCTGAGTAATGCCTCAAATCCCAGTTTAATTAAATATATATTGAAGACCTACTACTATTTGCCAGAAACCATAGGAGATGTAGTAACAGACACAATGCAAGTATAAAAGACTTCAAAATACTATTTGTTTTGGGAGCACACATTCTACAAAGTTATTCTACTTGCACATAGTGTACAACAGAAGACAAAATTTTATCTGTGACTGCTTTGCAAACTCAGAAGGCTGAGGCCTTGCATAGTCAAGAAGGGCTCTGACTGTAATCTTTGCTCAAGCCAATTTAAAAGAAGCATTCTGCATTCAAAATACATAATTATCCTTAAACATTTAGTTGATGATCTGACTCTAGAAGAATAGATAGAATTTGGATATCTTACATGGTTGAAGAATTTCATAATGCATTCCAGGCAAGTAAATGAACATGAGCCCAGAAGCAGATGGGCACAGTGTGATTGCAAGAACAAGAAACCCACTGACAAGAGCAGGATTAGCAAAAGGGCAGGGGACATAATTGATAAAATAGAAGAAAAGTATAGGGGAAGAGGTATTAGAATTAGATTATACTGAAAAGTGTAGGTAGAGGGGTGATATACTAAACTGATGTGTATGTAAAATCTCATGGGTGAGTGTGACAGACTCACGGGCAAACCAGTTCGGAAGGTATCCCATTAACCCAGGCATGTTACAATAACAACCCAGATTGAGATTTGGAAATGTGGATATAAAAGAGTGATTAATGATGCTGTTTTGATTATTTGTTTTCAGAAATAATAAATCTTGGTAACTATCTTGACAAAAGGAAGGAAGAAGAAAGATGAATCAGAGCCATTGTACATTTTTGAGCCTGGGTGAACAAAAATAATGGTAATGACATGCATACAGGCAAGGGCACTGGGAAGTGAGCTTATTAAGAGTCTGGGTATAGATGGAGTGAAAGGTAAGGAAAACCAAACACACCAAGTTTTCAAACTTCCATCTTGGGTATAGTTAGAGTTAATGATAAAGTATATTAAAACCAGACTCACTTTATTTAGACACTTTCATTCTCTATTTTGATTTGTGGAAGTTTTCTACAATCTCTGTTCTCTAAGAGCATCAATCAGTATATTTCATATAAATAGCTATTGTTAGTATCCTTTAAGTTATTTATTGCTCTAAGTGATTCATATATTTAACTTGTTTAATGCTCACAATACCCTATAGAGAGTTACTAAATTATTATTATACAATTTTATAGATGAGAACAGGGAAGTACAGAAAATCAAATAGCTTAGCGAAGGTAACAAAGCTAATAGGTCCTGAAAACAATTTTTGGAACCCAAGAATCTTCTGCTCTTATCTACTGGTATGTAGATTGATTCCTTCATGCCAAATAGTCGGTTTAGTATAAACAAGTCACATCTTCTCTACCTCTTTTAGCTCTTATATACTCATTTTTTTTTTTAATTTAAGTTCTGGGATACATGTGCAGAACATGCAGGTTTGTTACATAGGTAAACATGTGCCATGGTAGTTTGCTGCACCCATCAACCCATCATCTAGGTTTTAGGCCCCACATGCGTTAGGTATTTGCCCTAATGCCCTCCCTCCCCTTTCCCCCCACCCACCAACAGGCCCTGGTGTGTGATGTTCCCCTCCCTGTGTCCATGTGTTCTCATTGTTCAACTCCCACTTATAAGTGAGAATATGTGGTGTTTGGTTCCTGTGTTAGTTTGCTGAGGATGATGGTTTCCAGCTTCATCCATGTCCCTGCAAAGGACATAAACTCATCCTTTTTTATGGTTGCATAGTATTCCATGTGTATATGTGCCACATTTTCTTTATCCAGTCTATCATTAGTGGGCACTGGGTTGGTTCCAAGTCTTGCAATCATAAATCATGCTGCAATAAACACGTGTGCATGTGTATTTATAGTAGAATGATTTATAATCCTTTGGGTATATACCCAGTAATAAGATTGTTGGGCGAAATGGTATTTCTGGTTCTAGATCCTTGAGGAATCGCCACACTGTCTTCCACATTGGTTGAACTAATTTACACTCCCACCAACAATGTAAAAACATTCGTATTTCTCCACATCTTTGCCAGCATCTGTTATTTCCGGACATTTTAATGGTCACCATTCTAACTGGCGTGAGATGGTATCTCATTATGAACCATCAAAATAAGCATAGAAGATAAGGACATTTAAAATCTGGTGATTATATGTATAGCTAACTTTATTTCCCAAAACTCCTCCCACCAAATCTGCTCTCCAAACACGGAGACTGTGTCATGTTATTTTATGTCTCTTGGCTTTTCACATATTAATTCAACCGAACAGAAAATTCCCCTGGCTAACTAGAAACTGCTAATCAGCTTTTATGCTTGTAAAGCATACTGTGGTTGTCAACAACTGTCTGGGCCTGATTTTGTTTTCATTTGTTTTAAATCTAGACTTTTGGAGTCTTGCTGCTATGGCATGCCTGTGCAATTGAGTGTACTAAAGAAATTCAGGAGTGAGACTTTTGCACTGTTTTAGTGTGTCCTGGCTTAATTATTTTTTTATTTTTATTTTTTGGACAAGCCAGAATGATCTGCTCATATCCTACCTCTTATCTGTCTTTTTTTTAGGCTGCTTTCTTCTTTGTACTTAAAGCTCTTAGTACCTCCTGCAAATCCACCTGGCCTCAGAGTGCTTTATAGTTCCTTAGTTGCTTCCCCTTATCAAAATGTTCATGTCTCTGATTTTGAGAACTGTAACATAACAATAAGTTATGTTAATAAGATAAACAAATCCCTGCTCCTGAGTAAATGAGATAATGTGCTATTTCTTATAGTTTGATCATTTCTGCTTAACTCTGAAATGCCGTGCTCATTGAAGAGGCCTTTGGAAAGTTATAATGATACCAGAAATAGTCATTTTGGTCTACTGCAAGGTAACTTTTGATGGGGACATTACTACAAGTAGACAAGTAACACTCTGTTTTTGATAAAGAGGGCTTAAAAATCAAGTAAAGGAAACAAATTTATATGGGGTATAAAAATTTGTTATGATGAAAATACATTGAATAAAATGATAAAAAATAAGTACATAGAACTGTTAGCTAAATGTAATCATTTTTTTCAGATTCCCTCCCCTGCCCCAGAATATCCTGTATACAGATCCAGTTATTTTTTAAAAATCTTTTCAGGTATCTTTATTTTAGTATTTAACAGCTCAAAATACCACAAGGTAAATGGAATAGACATCCATTCTCTTGTTTTACTTATGTTGAATACAGTTTATAGAAAAGGCAATATTTTATTAATTTTAAAGGACCATAATTTTCCTGCTTCATGGTACGTATCTGTTTGCTCTTAGACAAGTTCCTAGGAACAACAATTTTATGTTTGCTCCAGGTACACAACATCTATAATATAAATATAAAGCTGCATTTAAGCTGACATTCAGTCATCAAATTTCCTCATTTTAAAAGGCTAAATCACACATTCAAACAATGTGCATTTCTGAGAAAAAAAAATTGTGTAGGTATGGCAAAATTTTTTTGTGTCAATTAAATACCAATGGTGTTCAAAATGTCTCCAACATGCATATCAAAAGGAAATTGTGTTAATTATACTGATTAACCCTAGTTTATTATGTTTCACCAAGTAAGTCCTCCTAGAAAGGAATTAGTGGAAGATGCATAAACATTTTAAATTCAAATGCAGAGTGTGGTAAATTGTTACCACAGAGACTTAAATGGATTATTTTATGTTCTCAGAGCATCCATCAGGAAAAAAACTGTTTTAGAAAACCAATGTGATTGTGTCAAGATGATGGGACTAAATTGACCATGGCAAGGTTTAGTCAGTGTTTTTCCTGTTTTCATTATTGATTGCATAACATTGATTATGTTAACTGTGCAGAGCTCCAATTTACTTATTACGTTTGCTAAAATAACAGATTGGCATTGGCACAATTTCTTTTTATTTGAGGTTTTTAGGTACATTCTACTTGTCATTATTTTGGGAGAGTTTTTTTTTTTTTTTTTTAAGAAACCTAGAATTCCTCTTCCCCATCTTAAATTCTAGGGTTTTTTTTTAACTTTTTATTTACTAATTTCATTGCTTGGGAATTTAGAAAAACCCAGTCATTGATATCCTCTGATTAAGTACCTTATTTCCTAAGAAAAAAAAGGAATAGCATAGGGCGTATTGTCTTTTCTATAAACAGTATTCAGCATAAGTGAAACAAGAGAACAAATGTCTATTCCATTTACCTTGTGGTATTTTGAGCTGTCAAATACTAAAATAAGTAATGATATCTGAAAATATTTAAAAAAATAACAAATCATTAGGATAGATTCAACATAAAAAGCAGAAACAAAAAACGTTATGGCTTCTTTCTGTGATGCAGTTCCATATTTTATACTATTTTAAATATGTATGTATGTATATACATACACATATATATGTATCTATATATCTCTGATCATTGAAAATAAAACAAGGTTCTGAGAACATCCTCATTAAAAAAAGATTAAACTATTAATCAGGGATAGTGAGTACCTATTAACTGAAGATGCCATTTTGGGAAAGAAGGCATAGCCCATGATCTAGGGTTTCTTGCTTCAAGCTGCTACTCGGAAATACCCAAACTTTGGATAAAAGAAGTTTTGACAAATTTTAAGGACGTAAAACCAGATAAGTATCATTAGTCACTAATGAGAAGATTATGAGGATAAATGCAAAGGCCTGGGTTTTCCAGGAGTGTGTATGCAGTGACTTAACATTATCAAAAATGGGCAAGTGAGCTTCCCTGGCATAAATGGATAAGAAAGCAAAAGTCTAACAGGGACCTCACCTCTACCATGTATGACCATGTATGACCATGAGGACATTAGCACCAGACTGTCAGGGTGCCAGAGTGGCTCCTGCATGTACTAGTTCTGGAACTTGGGCAAATTACTTAATCATTGTGCCTCAATTGCCTCATTTACAGAGTAGTGATAATATAACACCGATCTCATAGGGCTGTCATAAATGTCAAATGAGTAAATGCATGCTAAGTACTTATAGCAGTGCCATACAAGCAGTAGCTGTAATTATTACATTTGTGTTTCTTTTATATTTGGGTTAATGGCTCCCTTATAGTGAGGGTGGGTATACAAGAAAGAGTGACAAGACTAAAGGTTTAAAAGAAATGGCAGAACCAGACAGCAGGCTGGTTTTTTTTTTGTTTTGTTTTGTTTTGTTTTGTTTTTTTTGCCGGAGTCTCCCTCTGTCGCCCAGGCTGGAGCTCAGTGGCGCGATCTCGACTCACTGCAAGCTCCGCCTCCGGGGTTCTCGTCATTCTCCTGCCTCAGCCTCCCGAGTAGCTAGGACTCCCGGCTAATTTTTTGTACTTTTAGTAGAGACGGGGTTTCACCGTATTAGCCAGGATGGTCTCGATCTCCTGACCTCGTGATCCGCCCGCCTCGGCCTCCCAAAAGTGCTGGGATTACAGGCGTGAGCCACTGCGCTCGGCCGGAGGCTGGTGTTTTTTTAAGGTTAATCATCAATTTATTCTATGTTAGCAATGCACTCATTTTCAAAACAATATTTTTCTATTTATGTATCTATCTTCCTTTTAAACAGTACACATTTAAGTTTTATATAAGGAATAAATTCATTTTATTTGTTTTTCTCTGCTATTGACAGTTTTGTTTTTTTTTTAATCTTGTGCTGGACTCCTGCAGGAAAACTAACATAAATCCATCCATCAACAGTATTTGAAACAATTAAAAATTATATTGTTTAAAATTAAATCTGTTTAAAATAGATGTCTGATATTTGTACATCATAGGAATTTAAAATTATTTCAAGAACAATGGTAGCCAGGAATACTCTTATAGCACATCAAAGCATAGTTTCTCATGGCATAAGTCTGAGCTATTTTAGCCCCTTATCAGCAATGCAAGTTCTTAACGAACTGATAGTTTTTAGATGAGCTTAACTTCCTTCCTCTTGCCAAATATGTTGTTGCCATAGCTATCTCCTTTACAGCAGTGATGTTATTTTATTAGCATGAGCTTAAAAAATTCAGTTATTTCTGTCTGTCAAGACACAACATACACATTCTCTCAAAATTTGCAATTTTCTTTTTTTACATGCTTTACTTAATTTAATAGTCAATATGAAATCGTTTTACAAAGTAAGCCAGTTTCTTCACATATCTATGGAAACATTTGGCAGTTAAATTCTCCTGGCAGGTACACTAGCCAGTTCAAAGACAGAGAGTCCTTGGGATGTATTTTCTATTGCTGAGGAAGCTGGCTTGATTTGAAGGAAAAAAAAATCCAAGTCAAATCATCCTTTCAGAGTTTTATGTTATAAAATTCTGGGGGATCTGAATCAAAGGTTACTTATTCTTAGGTAAATGTGATGATGCTTTTTGAGAAAAATCTTGTTTTTAAGCTTTTTTAAAACTGCTTCCGTGGAATTAAAGTGTTCTGGTGATTGTTAACGATAATTTCTCAGGAAGGGTTTCATGGGTTTATAGGTAACTCCCCTAGGCAGGTATCTGAGATCAAATCTACAGATTCAGCTCCCTAACTCTTGTAATGCAGTGTCCAAACTGATAGTTTGGCTACCCAAACATTTGTCCTGAAACAGCAGCATGGGGCACTAATGCCAGAAAGTCCCACAACCAAGAGAATGGCCTTGACTCCGAACCATCAAAAACTCAGTAATATTTAAGAGAGGAAGTTGAGGGCTGATAAGGTTTGGCTCTGTGTCCACACCTAAATATCATCAAATTGTAATCCCTACATATCAGGGGAGGGGCCTGGTGGGAGGTAATTGGACCCTGGGGGAGGATTTCTCCCTTGCTGTACTCATGATAGTCAGTGAGTTCTCACAAGATCTGATGGTTTAAAAGTGTGTGGCACATCCCCCTTGGCTCTCTCTCTCTCCTGCTCCACCACGGTAAGATGTGACTTGCTTCACCTTCACCTTCCACAATGATTGTATGTTTCCTGAGGGCTCCCAGTGATGCTTCTGTACAGCCTGTGGATCTGTGAGTCAACTAAACCTATTTTCTTCATAAATTACACAGTCTCAAGTAGTTCCCTATAACAGTGTGAGAGGAGACTAAAAGAAGGGCCTTGACATCCATCCCTTCCTCCTGATACATTGAGTTCTAGCCTTATAGCTGATTAGATCTCTGAAATGGTACATTCTTGAAATTCATTATCTCAGCCCTCAGAATGATCATCATCCTTGCTTTTATAATTATTCCCTCAAGTTTTAGAGGACTTTTATAAAATTAGGATATTTGAAAATCACCCTAACATTTTAGGAAAACTTACCAATGACACTTCTGTTATGATGATGAATGGCCCAAATATAAGAACCCATCTGACAATGTTTTGCTAGAATTTAGCATGAAGAAAAAATACTTTTGTTGAAGAGTCACTGCTCATTCTTTGTTCATTTATTTATCAAAGAAATATTGGCCGACTACCATGGGGGCCAGAGTCTGTTCTGGATGCTGGACATTCACTACTGCTGTCAGAAAACTCACTGTCAAGTCACAGAAAGATATAGGAAAAGCTGACGCTATGAGGAGCCAGGGAAGACTGGAGACTCAGGAAGAAGTCTATAGCAAGAAGTGGCATTTGGCAAGGTGTTTCATCATAAGTAAATATTTGTATGTAGAAGAACAGGAAAGGGCCTTAGGGACAGATATTAGAGCTTTGGCAACAGCACAGATGTGAAAAGTAAACAGTGAGAAAAGTTATGTGCAGTTGAGAGAGAGAAGTTCCATGTGGCTAGTAAGAAACACTAGCAGGAGCTGAGGTTGAAAAGGATCTCTCAGGGTAGGTCGTAAAAAACTTGGGATGCTAAGCTCCACAGTAAGTTTTACTCTGTGGATGAGGAAGGGTCCATAATGAACTTAAATTTAAGGCGAACAACATGGTCAGATTTATGAGATGAACTGTTTGTGAATTTTATAATGGAATAGACTGTTATTGTGCTTTGAAAATTCCTGTATTACCAGGATGTAGAACAGATTCAAACAAATAGCATATGCTTAATTACTATCTGTTGAGTCGAATGCTTAGTTATGAGGCTGCAAGAGTCTAAGGGTAGAGATACAGAATAATGTTGGAGTTCAGATATATTTTACCATTGATTCCTCTTTTGGATATTGACATTCCCATAACTTTTTCCTTTTCCTGAAGGCTAGGCAATTCAGAGCTATGCAATAATTATATGTGTTCCTCACAGTTGGCATGCATGCTTCTTCCTTTTTGTGGCTTTTATTTTCTGTTTCCATTATATTGATGTTAACTCTTTTGTAGCTTTTATCATAGGCCACCTCAAATATGTTTTGGAAATATGTTGAGTGTAAATGAACCCATATTTATTTGGAAACTTTTAGGTTAACACTGCTTTCGTATTTCAGGCCTATTCACATGGAAATGACCTTAAAAGATGCTCACAGCCACCGGCTCACCCTCAATGATGCGCCCCCTAGAGGAGGCCTGCAGCCCACTCAGGCAGGCTGCCAGTCTTATTTTGGAAGACGGCAATGGCAAAATGCATTCTCCTTGTTATGTCCACTTGTCTTTTTATTTTTTTGTGGTTTCAGAAATATACAAGCATTGAGTTGTCATGTACAGGGAAATTGTCTAAATGCAGCTTTAAAAAAATGATATACATATCAATTAAACTCTTTAACCTTCTGGGATTTCTTCCCAACTTTAAGAATCTAAATATTAAAGGTAATCTATGGACAATTCAGTCTGCACCATGAACTATAATCACATAAAAACTTCAATTATCAACACTTATGATCTGAACTTGCTTTTTGGTACAATAGAAATAATAATAACCTAAAGTGTTATTTGGCATTGTTGAAGGCACCTCAGTATGCTGATATGCTTGAGAATCACAGCTATGCAGGAGCCTACGGCAGGTTGAAATAAGTGACAGCTTTGAAATCAGGAAATGTGGTCCTTTCAACATCACCTTCGCACCTCATTCACAGTATAATTGGGAAAGTCATGCAATCTCCTGAAAATCTTACTTCCTCATCTGTTAGACAGAAATTATTCTTTCATAGAATTATGAAAATTGAAAAAATGTGTATAAAAGTATCCCAATACAGTATACTGTATAAAATTGTATTTTAAAACTGATGTAAGTGAATTATAGAAATTCTGGTTATGGGACATTGCATTTAACATAGTCAGTAAATTTACTGTAAAATTAATATTTTCATTATGAAAGAGACATATATTTTACCACTCTATGCCCACTATTCATCTATCCTGAATTAAACTTGGCTGAAAAAGTTAAATTTAAAAAAAAGTTTGGTTTGAAGAGCAAGTATTTCCTAAATGTGATAGCTTAATGATAACACTGAGTTAGTTCTAATCTAACATTAAAGGAAGAAACATGTACACTTACGCTTTGGATGGGACAAATTTTTGTTATTCACATTTGAAATTCACTTTAGTTTTAGCACAATAAAATTTAATAATTTATTAGTCCCTCATAGCACTCTGCTGAGAAGTGAATGTCTTGTCAAAGGATCAGTTCAAAGTAGCTTTACTTCCTACGTTTAACTAATTTAAAACTGCCTTACCTAGGCCGGGCATGGTGGCCCACGCATGCAATCCCAGCACGTTGGGAGGCCGAGGCAGGCGTATCACGAGGTCAGGAGATGGAGACCATCCTGGCTAACACGGTGAAACCCCGTCTCTACTAAAAATACAAATTAGTCGGCTGTGGTGGCAAGCGGCTGTAGTCCCAGCTACTGGGGAGGCTGAGGCAGGAAAATGGCGGGAACCCGGGAGGCGGAGCTTGTAGTGAGCTAAGATCGCGCCGCTGCACTCCAACCTGGGCGATAAAGCGAGGCTGTGTCTTAAAAAAAAAAAAAAAAACTGACTTACCTAATAAATACTAAAGTAGTCCTCCCTCCAGTTTCAGTTTTTTTTTTTTTTTTGAGATGGAGTCTCGCTCTGGAATATGAAAAATCTTTAGAATTTTATAAAAATCTGATACTGCAAATATTATTACAAAAAGTTCAATTAAATTAAACATTTTTGTGGTAACATGGTACTGACAACCATCATCTTGTTATCAAAATATATTTGAAAATAAATCAACCTCTAAAGGATTTTTTAATAGTAGAAATAATATAAATTTTTTTTATTGTTATACTTTAAATTCTAGGGTACATGTGCACAACTTCATGTCCTTTGTAGGGACATGGATGAAGCTGGAAACCAACATTCTCAGCAAACTATTGCAAGGATATAAAATTGTTGTTTAAGCAGACTACCTGTTTAAAAGAGGATGAGAGAAGAAAATGAAGTCTTCATGGCTCTGTTATATAATCAGGGTGAAGCAATAATTTAAATAACTCAACAACATTTATAAAAACTCAGGTAGTTTTAAAAATTGTCCATTCCCTATATATGCATAATGTAACATAGAAGGGGCTATTCATCATATAAGGCATCTTTTGAAAGCTGAAGAGGGAATGAAGTGCATTTTTATTTCAAATGACAACCATAATAAGAGACTGCATCATATTGTTGTTTTTTAAATGAATACAACTTGGTTCCTAGATATATAATAAGAATCAACTGGGTAAAGCTAGAACTAAACAATTTTAAAGGCATAAGAATCTCTCAAGTCGGGAAAAACAAATATTTGGAAACTTGGAGGGAGGAAGAGATCCCACTCTTTCTTCATCCCCACATTTATTTAAAAATTCCACTGGTTAATTCTCTAAGGAATTCTCTTAGGGTTTGGCTTCCATGACAATAAGCTCTCTTTGTTTAGTTTTAGTTTCTTTCAAAAAATGACAAGCTAATACCACAGATAAAGAGGTCAGAAAGAATGGACTCACAGGCAAGTACACTTTTTAAGTAAAGTGACAAAGCAATACCAAGGGCTTTGACACTTGAGACGGTTCCTGAGTGGAACGACAAGGTGTTCTGTAATTTTACTGAAGTTGATGAGATTATGCTTTCTACTACTTTGGTAGTTTGGGTGTCTGACATTGTGAATGTTTGCATATTTTCACGTTAGCAGAGATACAAGTATTAGGAAACAATGAAACTGGAATATAATAACAATCAAGTGTTCTATTGCCTCTTCTAAAACATTTGTTTAAATGAAGAAAGTAGCAGGCATGTGGCCAAAAAACTATACATGTATACACTAAAGAAATGTTCCAACAAATAAGAAAATTGGTCTTGTTGCTTTCAGTTATTCTGTGTTGATCAAAACGGGGAAATAATGTCCGTTTAAAGCTAAATAAAATATAAATTCCAAATAAAGCCATGCAGAGTAACTCAAACAGTATTTCCCTAGGGTCAAGAATTATGGGTTCTTTTCACAATGTTAAATATGCAGTTGTTTGTATTCTGGGTCTGTTTCTCCAACCTTAAAATGAATTGTTTAAGAACGAGCTCTAATTTTTCTTCAAGCCCTAAGATCATATGACTAAGGAGAAATGATATCCGCATGCCTGGCATGAGTTCTGCTTTTCTAAGTATTTATTATTATTATTATTATTATTATTATTATTATTATTATTGGGCTTGGACTCAAGTGCCTGTTGCATTTGTTATCTTAGGCTTATAGTGGTTTTCAATCTTGTTGGTCTCAGGACTCTCCTATGCTCTTAAAAATTATTGAGGACTCCGAAGAGCTTTGGTTTATGTGAATTACATTACAGTACATTAAAGCTTAAGTGATCACCAATGTTAAGTATCACTTGCCAGTTGCTACCTAAGCTCTCCAGTAACCTTTGGTCTCATCAGTTTTAGCATGATTCAAACTGATCTTCGAAGAAAGGGAGCTAATTTCCTTACTGTATCATTAGGTTAAAGACTGTGACTTCAGCTGCTTATGTTTATGCTTTTAGCCAGATCTAGTATCTTTCTCTGGGTTATTCTTTAGGCAGGTTTTTGCTAACTTCGTTAAACAGATCAACAAAATATTATTTCTCCTGTGTCTACTATGTAAATTATCTCTACCTCCTCTTACTAAAAGAGGATGGAACTTTTTGTTCACATATTTTGAAAGAAGAAAAATGTTAGTTTTAAATTTTAATTTTAAATTACAAAAATTACAATTTTACAAACACAGAGCTGTGACAAGTCCCTATTTTAATACTTTTAAAAGGCATTATAGTTATTCCTTCATCTTTAAATTTTATATTTAAAAATGTTTTCCAGGCTGTGTAAAGTTTGAAGGCACTGTATTTGCTGAAACAGTCAAATTTTATCTTGGCAGTAATTGCTTCTTTACGACTTGTCTGCCTGACAGTGTAGTAGATGATCTCTTGATATGTAGTCTGAGGTTGCAGACTCCTAAAGCTGTCTGTGGCTACTCACAGAATTCCTCGCACCTACTCCACCACTGCTTCTGTGAAATTATATGTTCCTTAAAGTGTGTCATGTAATTGTCCTTAGTTCTTCCTTTGCTCATGGTCTTTGTGAGAACAAACTTCAAATGTATTCAATGGAATTGATGTGGCTAGGAAAATGTATAGACTGCCGTCATTGCTACATTAAAATAATAATCAATTTCAATTCTACGGGGTACACATTAATGGATATGGTTTGGTGTGCGGTAATTTCCCTGTAGTGAAAGAGTATTTTTCTATTATGTATATCAAGGGGCCTGAGTCTTTCTTAGGAGCAACTCTCTATCATACAAAATAATCATGAACAGATGGCTTTTGTTCTGTTTTAGAATGGCAACAATTATGTGTGTGATATTTTCAATAGCGTGCAGTATAGAAAGGAAAAGAAAAATATAATTGCAAACTTTTGTTAGTGCTACTTTTGGAGCAATATAGGCAAGAACTAAGCCAATTCATGAAGATGGTTGTATGTTAATTCCTCTCTCCCACACAAATTTTAGTGAGGGCATTATTTCTTACAATAAATATTGGGAATCAATCTCTTTCATATTGATTTTATTATTTTGTTCTCCCAAATGCCATAATGCATATTCAAATCTACTCAGTAGGCAATTTAGTCTAGCAGCAAATGGTTGCATATTGGTAGTGATAATTTAAAGGCTGCTTTAAGAAAAAGTGGAGAAGACAAACTCAAATTATTTAGATCTAAAAAAACACAAAAGGTAGAATATCATAAAATGATACAACATCTGAATGAAATTTCATGGACAGGCTATTTTTGGTGTAAATGTTCATAATTAATTTTCAGCAGCTATATTGCTTTTGGAAATAATGAATATGTACTTTATCATGAATATTTATGAAGTGATATGAAAGATTAAAATTATTAGCAAAAATGTTGAAAATATTTTTAATTCCTTTTTTCTAAAAACTTTTAATACTATCGCACATTGTTTTTTTAATGTCATGCTAAAAATTTTGTTTCTTATATGATATATGCAGCTCTTTAAAATTGTAAGAAATTATTCATGAATGCATTTAACTTCTGCCTTAAGAAGATAAAGGTACGTCAAGAGATTGTACAATACTTAAAAATGCAGACTTTATTAAAAACACAACTATCTCTAAAAAATCAAAAATACCTCTGTATAAAACGTGATTTAAAGGTTGACTATTAGTGCGCTGCACAAAAAATGAATTGCTGTAAATTGTTTTAAAATCATAAATTATATTTAAAATTTAAATATGTACACTTGCATAATCCCAAAATATTGGTCAACTACTTGGTAAAATCAGGTGGAAAATTAATCAGATTTTCAATTTTTCCTTAGTCATGTAGTTAGAGAATCTGTGCATCTCTCACATATGTGTTAGCGGAAAGAAACCAGTAAAGATTATCTCTAGAATATGTTAGAACCTGCACTGTTTCTCTCCGGCAATGCCTGAGACAATTCCACGGAGTTGATAGTCTTTGTATCCCAACAGCCACTTGGCTTCCCACCTGGGGCCACGCTTAAGAGATCCAGACCCCATCCTTCCTTGGGTGGAGCTTCAGCTTCATCTGTTCTGTCCTTCTCTCCTCCTATGCCCTTTCCTAATTCTGAATAGCAAAGATGGGAGAAATTGGTGGTTGATTTCAAAGATCTGAACTATATTATATAGTAGGCAAAGATTTCTTTATAAATAAAAAAAATCACTAAAATCAATGATAATTGTTTATATAACACTATTTGCTTCATCCAGTTAAGGTTGCAGTGTAGTTGACCCTGAAGAGAAGGCCACCACAACTCTCTCTCTACATATATATATATCATATATATATATGATATATATATCATATGTATCATATATATGATATATATGTTTATATTTACATTTATATAAGTTGAATATATGATCCAAATGGAGGAATTCTTCATATTAAAAATAGTTTGTTTGCTTCCTTACTTATCTGTTAATATGTCCCTTAGGAGGAAATCGCAAGATGATTTAGGACAAAGAGCAGTATACAATCAAAAAGATCTGGGAAATAAACTGTGTTCTTGAGGCTTCAATTTAATGCATTTAGTGTGGTACCTAATAAATGAATATCCATTATGATACTATCACTGTGTGGTTTGGCCACATTTATGTTGTGCCACTGAGTAGAGATGGAAGGATGTACGCAACTCTGCATCCCAGTGACTCCAGAACACGAACACTGCTTTAGTTAGTCTCCCTGACTTTGCTCCTTCTGTACATCCTCTCAGAGATAGGGTGTTTTCTGAGAGAACAAAGAAAGGCATATACCGTGGATGGCTGCTATTCCTGCCTATCCAGTGTCTATTTCTCCTTTTCTCTTAAAAACATCTGAATTTTGTTTGTGTGATTTAGCCATTAGATACTAAATTTTGGGGGGGGGTGTTAAAATGTGTCACTTCTCCTGAACTTAGTTTTGAAAATCAGATGCTAGCTTCCTAAAATGTGCATCTTTAGGTAAAGAACATATAAATTAAGAAATATTTGGAAGAGACTCATGGGAATGGCAGTATCTGAAGAGACCATCAATAGTTCCTGCTAATTGTTCTCAACTTTTCTATACCTTGTCCTTTCTGAAACCTCTTCAGCTTTTTCCCTCAATATCCTTCTGATAAATACTCCTTTTAATTATATGTGCATGTGTATATATACACATTTATGCACACATACATACATGCATATATACACACATATACACATACATATGTGTGTACATGTGATATGTTTGTACATTTAATAAATTACCCAGAGTTGGGTTCCACTGGTTAATGAAGACCTGTATTTATAATAAAATTCTGAAGAGTTAGAATATATTTCATTATGTAGGAGAAGCGTCACTGCAAAGCATCACCAACAAATCATGTTGAAAGAGACAGGAGGAGATGTGGAAAGAATAGTACCAGCCAAAATACGCAATCTATTTCATAGGTAGGCAATAAATACTGCAGTAGGGTTAAGCAAAATTAGGCTGAGGAAAGAGCACTTATTTTGACAATGAAGACGGTAATCATCAGAGAAAATCCTGTACCCTGATGGCCCAGGGGAAGGGGGAGGGGGCCATCTATACTGCCATGGATTAAGGTGAGGAAGGAAGAGGTTAATAAAGAGAGAAGAGAAAATCAGCCTTGGGAAAGAGAGTTGAAGATTACAATATGATTAATCTGTGTTATTTGAGGAAAGTGGGAAAAAAAGGCAAAGAAAGAAATGAAAGATTTGACACCTCATAATAGGAAGAATAAATAATAAAAGAGATTAAAAGAGAAGAAAACAAAGCACAGGTGATTTTCCTAGAGGAAATAGTAAACACAGAAGTAAGGAAATGCAAAGAGCTTAAATTTACAGCCTGTACAATTTTTTAGAACACAATGGTTTTTAGTGTTCAGCATTTTCCAAAGTCAGGCATAAGATGATTCTAAAAAAGCAATAAAACACTCTGTTTTATGTACTCTCCATCTTTATACTTGCACATTGTTTTATTTTTAATTTTTTTCTGAAAAATAAAGAGAGTTTGAAAAAGCAATGAATATATAATTCCTAGTACTGTGTTGCATTGATTTTACTTAAAGGAAAAAAAAAAGAAACTTAAGTAGGATTGACCCAAGTATCCAAACATAGTACATTTTTTCTACTTATACTTCTATATAAACAGTTTGATACAGATTTGCGATCAGGTTCTTATAAATCTAAAATTGATCAGGTAATTCAATTTAATTTAATTATAAAATAGCTAGGTAGACATTTTCATAATAGATAATTAAAAATTCATAAAAGAGTACATAATTGAATTAAAAATGGATTAGCTATATTTGAGATGCTGTGTCCTATACTCACAAAATTTATAAATTGGCAAAAGTGTCATTGTTAAACGTACTGTTTTTCTTTTATCAAAAAACCCTGTTGCTGTTCATTGGACAGTTTACTTTTATACTTTAAACTGACATTCTATGAAAAAATATGAAATGATAAACTAGTATGTTAAGCAGAGAGAAAAGTATTAATTTACTTTTGAATTCTGAGACCTATAAACTTGTAGTATCTATTAACTGCATGAGATCTTGAACAGGAAATAGAAAATATTTTACTGTCCCTACAACAAATGATTAAGTGCTAAATGGGTAATGGATAATGGGCAGCTAATGGATAACACTAAGAAAATTCCTCATGCCAAGGCAAGAAAGAACGACTTTAAATCATCAGGAACATTTGAAGTATCAATATTTATAGAATTTTTACAGGAACAATTAAGAGAGATATAGAGTGCAAAATGTGAGTAAATGTATTAACTCAGTGAATATTATAATTAGTGTAAAATTTTGGTGTGCCTGGACTGGAGGAAAACAATTTTGATTAACATGAAGAAAAATTATAATTGTCAATGGCGGCCCAATCTTGTGGAACTTTAGATCTAATGAGAAAGACTATAGATTTCATTCTATCTTTGTAAAAGAGGAAGAATTAAGATCTTAGAACAGAAAGCAGTATGACCACTGCTGTACTATGGAAAGAACATTCTTACAAGAAAGTGTAGCATGAATGGACCAGAGGCAGTGAGGTCAAGGAGGGGGTCAATAATGTAGAAATAATTACGATGCCTTTTAATATATCCTTCATTGAATCATTCTTCATCTGCATTGATATCACACTATGTCTCTGATTAGACATAGTGTGTCTAATGAGAATGGCTCATTGTCTGAGCTCCCCTATTGATTGTGATCTTCTCTCCGGCCAGGACATAATTTATGTAATTATGATTTATGATTATGTGCCCTAGACCTACCTCAGGTAAAGGTTAATTAAATATGTAAAACCAAGTGTGAGTGAATATCAAGATGTCAGAAGATAGAAATCATTAGGATATTAGTTATCAGTGTAGGATAATGAATTTCAGTGCTAATTAGGAATTGCAGGAGAAAACAATAACAGACAGATTGAAAATTAGGAGACTACATGGTTCCATCGATCTTAAAAGAACAAACACTTGCCTTTTATTTATTCAGGACAGCCGGGCCATGGCCTTGTGACCTAAGCATGGTCATTTGAATAATCCAGCAGAAGACTTTATATTTTAATGGAACACTACAAAGGCATAAGGTTTGAGAAATTATTAATAGCAACTACAATGTCCACCTGTGTCCAGCTGTTATAAGGGGAGTAATGACATCCCCAGTTAATTTTCTCTTGTCAAAGTTTTGCCTTTATCTGGGTATTCTTGAAAAAAACAGATTCTTCAGGACTCCTCCTGTGAGCAGTATTCTGTGAGCAACTGTTTACCAAGTCAGGTTCAACCTAACCCTGTCTAATATAGCATCATAATTGTCAAAGGAAGGGCTACAGAGAGAGGAGAATTTGAAATTCAAACTCCGGATATGTTGACAGCATTAAAGAGGTGGGAGGACCAGAAAAGTAGAAAAGGGAACAAAGATGAGTAAGAAAAGCATAAGGGTGGAAATTTTTATTCACAAAAGCAAAGCAGTATCAAAAATTTTGCCTTGCACATTATAAACGTGTAAGACTCTTCTGTCTTATAATTATATTTATGCAATTTTTCTCTATTGTCATAATTTTTTTGTTGAATTTATTTTCCACACAGGTCTATAGAATTTATAGCTCAACTGTGACTTCCACTGTTGATTTTCTACTAGTAGTTCAGTTACTTGTACCTTGAAAATAAAATTTGATAGCAAATTTGTGTAAACTAGTGATTAGTGAGCATAATGTATTTTGACTGTACATTTTGTAATAATATAGGCAAAATACACTATTTTTTACATTTTATATGGATTAAGAATAATTTTATGCTTCTCAATTGATTAGTAAAATATAACCTTACTTTCTGTAAGAATAAGAAAATATCTTGACTAAGCCTACAGATTTATTTGTAAAAGTAAGTAAAAGGGAAGGTTTTAAGTATCATAATGATTATGTATTTAATTTGTAAATATCTATTTAATTTTAAGTAAGTTATTTATTTTTTCTTATTTTTTGCTAAAAAAATTGTTATGGACACCTGTCATTAAATGTTAGTACTATTAAAACCTTATGATCTCAATTTTTCTATTTTAGTCATTTTGGTATTTTCAAATGGAAATAGACCCTAATTTATGTGATTATCAAGTGGCAAAAAGTTTAAAAGTTGATATTAATATATTGATCAATTTTTATTGGTATGTACATGTTGCATGAGATACATATATATATTTGTATATGTGTACCTACAAATGTCATTATGTTTGTGACAAAATCTTTAGGCAATGCTGATAATGTTAATTACTAAATTTCCACTTAATATAATTTTTTAAAGAAATTAATACATTTTTAAAATGAAGGCATAAAATAATCCTGTTGTTATTTAAATAAAAAAAAACCTTAACTCTGGCTGTAACTATGCTTTATGGCAATACCCAAATATCTTGAGAACAGCAATATTGAAAGTTTTATATGCTAATAAGAATGTAATTTACATTTATAGCCGAACTTTAAGTAATTCCCATATAATTTTATTGTATATTAACTAGGTTTTCCCATTCATATATGTGCATTAAATTCCAGCTTTTAAAAGTCACCTAAGATGTAATTAATTTATAATAATTACATCAAACATTCTGAATTTATACTTTCCATGTTGCTAAATGAATCTCTAAACATTAAATCAAGTATTGAAGATCAAAGACAACTCATGGACACATAGAGGGGGAACAACACACACTGGACCTTTTTTGGAGGGTGGAAGGTGAGAGGAGGGAGAGAACCAGGAAAAAGTAACTAACAGATACCAGGCTTAATACCTGTAGGATGAAATAATCTCTACAAAAAACAGCTATGGGGGAACAACACACACTGGACCTTTTTTGGAGAGTGGAAGGTGGAAGGAGGGAGAGGACCAGGAAAAGTAACTAATGGGTACCAGGCTTAATACCTGGAGGATGAAATAATCTCTACAAAAAACAGCTATGACACAAGTTTACCCGTGTAACAAATCTGCACCTGTACCCCTGAACTTAAAATAAAAGTTAAATAAATTTTTCAAAATAATATTTTTTTTAAATCACAAAATTGATTGAGCTGTCTACCTACAAACAGAACTGTGTAATGGGTAAACAAATAATGAATCATCTTAAAATTACATACTTCACTTGAAGTTGAGTCTGAAGTTGAGTCAGTCCTAGAATGGCAGACCTCCACAGTCCTAAACCCTTTTCTCTGCACAGTTACAGTCCTAGATTCTGTTACAGTAGAGCACTGAGGGAAATAAACATCTTCACATTTGTACTTGGTTAAATGGAATTAAAATGGTTTCATAGATGTTTAGTCTAATAAAATTTGTTTTTTTCTATGAACTATTTAATTTCATTAATTTTATATTTTACTTTGATATCAGATCTAGCTCCAAAGTAATGTAGAAAAACGTTTTTAATTTAATTGTAGAAAAAATATAGGGTTAAATATCAAAACTTATTTGGAACTCTATACAAAACATATTATATAAATATATGTAATTGCATTATCAATTTATGTTGATGGCAAAGTCATGCTTTGTTAAAGATATCTCTTAATACTAGCACAGCATAAATATCTGTGAAAAGAATACTCTTTCAGGTTTATTGGAGAAACGTTAAAAATATTCACTTTTTCATTTATAAGATTATATACTGTCATATCTTGAAAGTCATTAATTTGGAGTTATCCTGGTCTAAGTAATATAGTACAAGAATAGTTTTTCTGGGTTTAGTAATGAGCAGATAGGGCCAAATAATTATGAATAGAACCTCACAAATTAGATACCCAAAATAAGGCACCCAGATTTCTAGTGAGTACCAGAACAAAGATGTCTGTGTTGGCACAGAGGCAGACAGCTTGAGGGATGTCTAACTGTACACTGTAGGATAATTTGCCAGGAGAGAATTTTGGGAAGATTTTGGTAAATAAGCAATAGGCAGTGGGTAGTAAAGCCATACCTGTGGGAAGTAAAAATGTATGGCAATAACTGGGTAGGGTAGAAAATAAAAAATGGTTTGGCAGTAATTGAAACTTCAGTAACCAAACTACAAGCATATCAATCAGCACAATTTTCCAGTTGGTAAAAAAGATTAAAAACATCAAGAGTTGTTGGAGAACAAGCGGACAAGAGCCTAGGTAGCAGAACAAGGGCAAAGTGGAGAGCTCAGTTAGGAATGCTTCCTTCCATTTATCTTGCCAAGGGAAAGGATCTTCATGTTCATGTGAGGCATGTGAAAGCCTCTGATTAATTACTTCTCATATTGAAACTTAAAGGGCTCTCAGAATAGAAAATAAAAAAATTACTTTTACTAGTATACTCTAGCACACATGTTCTTCTAATAATAGAACTGTACATGTACACATTATTGGAGCACCTCAAAACTTCCCCAGAAAAGTATCTACAAGCCAACTCATATTAAATCTTTGTTTCTTTTTACGTGGCAAACATGAAAATAACTTACTTGGCAAAGCACATTTAGCCCTTTGCTCTTTTCCAGCTGATGTTGCCTATGTTTCATTCAGGTGTCCTCCAAAGGTTACTTGCCTTTTCTTTGTAATCTAGCCATTTCATTAACAGAAGCAAAGATGCAAAAGTGCCCTACAAGGCTGGCCTCATTTCAAACGTTTACATGCTATTTACAATCTCCCATATGTGCTGGAAAGCTGATGTTTAACAGCTTAAAAACATTATCCAAATTTTTGATGCTGTCAGTGTAACAAAGTGACAAATTCCTAAAGAAATTATTAAACCTCTCTCTCATTCTCTATGCAGTCTAAGAAATAGACCCAATTGATTTTGGATGTAAAAAACAAAAACAAAACATAACACCTTACCTGCTAATAAAACCTTCAGACTAGTTCAGACTCCTTCTGTACCCTTTTATCCTATGGCTGGTCTCCGTCATGTAATCTAGCCCGGGCTGGATCTTAGTGGATGCTGCTCATGACATTTTCTGCTTTCTCATGCATACTCTGAGTCTATGTCTGATTTCATACCGTAAGTTGAAATGTATGGTATGTATATGTACTGCTGAAGAACTCTCTTGTAAGCTAAGTTTCCCCCTTTACCATATAATTATAAACAAAGTATATTTTATCCTTAAAAATAGTCTTTAGTTGATAATCACATTTAAATGTGACCTAAAGTCGCTATTGACCCGACGGGAATGATATGGTTTGGCTGCGTCCCCACCGAAATCTCATCTTGAATTGTAGCTCCCATAATCTCCGTGTGTCATGGGAGGAAAGAAGTAGAGATAATTGAATCATGTGAGCAGTTTCCCCCATCCTGTTCTTGTGATAGTAAACTCTAATGAGCTCTGACGGGTTTATAAGGGGCCCCCCCCTTCTCAGGGAACTCATTCTTCGCCTTGCTGCTGCCATGTGAAGAAAGACGTGTTTGCTTCCCTTTTTGCCATAATTGTAAGTTTCCTGAGGCCTCCCCAGGCATGCTGAACTGTGAATCAATTAAACCTCTTTCCTTTATAAATCACCCAGTCTCCAGTATGTCTTTTTTAGCAGTGTGAGAACGGACTACTACAGGGAATAAGAACAAATTTTACTGTGGAGAAAATAAAACCAGAAGCAGCTAGAGAACTGAAGCACATGTACTTTAGTTATTAAATCCTGAATGCAGAGCCTCCAGGAAGGTTGCTGTGGAAGAGGCTATGATACTGGGTAGGTGTTTGAGTGAGCAATAGTAGTAGTAGGACAAGGCTAAGGAAAATGCTCTCATCCTCCAGGAGATGAGAAAGAGTGGCTCACCTTTAGAAGAGTAGAAAAGACCAGGAGAACGGCACCTGCGAGGGATTATGAGTGGCCAACATCCATCAATAAAATGCTTTGACATGAGTGGTGCTGGGAGTTTCTTGAGGAAAAAAAGGACAGGGGACTTTAGATTGTTTTGTGTAAGTCGTTGTAAGTCTTTGATATAGAGATTTGCCTGCTCCTAATTTGAGGATACACAAAACACGCAGAAGCATAAATGTTGAATGAAGAGGAGAAAACACATTTTCCTCGGTAAAGAGATAAAGAGGAAAGAAATCCTAGTGGGCTTTTAAATGCCTTTATGTGTACCTGTGACTTTGTGTACCTCACTTTTAGCTGAGATGCCTCAAAATAGCTGTCAATTATCTTTAAAAAACAGAGGAAGGCACTCAATGACTTTTGAAGGCTTTGGAAAAACGGTGGCTATAAACAAGTTTTGTGCCCCTTGTCCACCCACCAATTGGAGGATGTGAAAAGGTTAACATCAGAGAGACCACAGGAGTTTGAAACTTGAAGAATATCTTTAGAGAGTATTGTCTGTGTTCTGTGAGTACCTTAAACTATGGAAGAGGGATAGTGTTCCATCCCCATAGCAAACCAAACTGGGGAGGAAGGGATGTCAAAAAACCATTCACTGTGTTTCCTGTATCTGTTGGAATTTTTATAAAAGGGTGGATAAATGTCTAACTCACATCTAGAAATATAAAGGGTAAGAAACAGTGACTGAAACTACTACCATATGCAAAATGAAAAGAGGGTTGAATTTAGCAAGAAACCGTACTTCTACCAGAAGCATGGTCCAACATTATGTGATTCTTCTGGACCCAATAGGAAACTCTAAAACAGAGAGAAAGGAGGAGAAACAGGTTTGTGCTGTCCTAGATCCTGGCTAAGAGGTTCACTGGTTCACTTGCAGGGTTAATGAGACCCTATCAAAGAGTTTCTGTAAACTTCTGTGTGGAGGTTGTCAGCTGGCTAGGGTGTTCTCAACCCATTTTGAGAACTGCTGGTGAGACTCACTAATGGAGGAGGGAATGTTCCTTAAGAAACCACAAAAATGCTCCTATGAGTCAGCTTTGTCTCATCACAAATGAGTCAGAAACACACTTTAGAGTTATGTCTGTAAAGTAAGACTTTTTTTCTGTCATATTAATTGTTTTTCTACTATTACCAACTATAGAAGGGCCAGAGATCAGGTAACACTAGGTAAACAAAAATAAAATAATCCAGCCAAGCATTTTTTCCCATTATAGACTTCTTCTCTGTAGGGGGCCTGAGCTACAGAAGGGGGAACTTGATTTTGAGTGGGGTTTGCATTTTGATTATAATATTGAGTTGTATATAAATATTAATGAATTAATACTGTAGAGGATAAATTTACTTCAGAACATTTTTATGACTTGAGAATGACAAAAAAAAATTCTGTTTCATTCTAGTGGGTGAGAGACTGGATATGCACATTGAGTCAGGAGAAAAGATTTAGTACAACATTTTAAAATTTTTTTCCCTGAAATTTTTACTTGTCCAGTGAACCACTTAGCTTTGCTACGGGGTACTGTAAACTTCATAGCACATACAAAATTATTTACTTCAATATCATTTCTTGGAACTTAAAACTCTCAGAACTCTGGTGTATCAGTTAGGATTTGATCAGGAAAAGAGAAGCCACGAGGTAAGAAAGAGTCCAATCCCAGAAATTATGGGTATTAAAAGAAAAACTTTAACAAATTAACTTAGCCAAGTTATTTGAGCAGAGATACAATTCATGAATCAGAAAGTTCCCTAAACCATTAAAGGATCAGAGACCCTCATCCAGCAATGCGGACAGGCAATATTTATTGACAGAAAACGAAGTGACATACAGGAATAGCCTGATTAGTTACAGCTCAACATTTGCCTTATCTGAACATGTCTGAGTAGTTTTCAGCCTGTGACTGACTTAAAGCTAAGTTGCTATGGTTGGCCTAGACTTTGTTACTTGTTACAAGAATACACTCTCAAGTTGCAGTTTGCTTACATATTAGGTTAGGTTACAGTTTGCTATGTACAGAGGCAGATTTAAGCCAAATTTAATTTAGTTTATCAGAAAAATTGAATGTCATGGAAGTGATGGAGAAGTGAAAGTCAGGTATCTCAGCTGCATCTGGTGGGTTTCAAAAGCTTGCCCAGAAGTCACTGGGAATTTTTTGACTCATGAGGGGCTACCACAGATTATTTCAGTCTGCAACACCAACAGAAGTAATTCTTAAGAAGCACCATCTTGCTATCTCAGCTACTTAGAGTACTAAAGTGGATGATTCAAGGAGCTTGCCCATAGATATGCTTGAAGCTGCAAGAATTACGGCTGCTCCTTCTATTCTGCCTTCCAAACTGCACAAGTGCCTCATTGACAGACTCTAACACAGAACTACAAAGGGCAGAAAACTCAAAGAAAGGTTCTTCTTGAAAAGGGTGACAATGATTCCAAGTTCCCAACCAATAATGCAGCACATCTAATTTGGCACTTCTTATTTTGTCCCTTTTCCCTTATGACTTTTTTTGTAGTAACATATTTTACTATTTTACTGCTATTATGTTGCTCTTGAAGTCAGGAGTCATAGTGATTCAATCACTTGTTCACTTATCCATGCAGCATATAATGAGAGCTTTGACTATTTTTCAGTCTCTCAGGCTCTGAGCACAAGGAGTGATAAGATGCAACTACCCAGAAGTATAGTCGTATCATTCACACTTATTTGCAATGAGAAACAGTCAAGTGTTTACTGAGAGTCCATGAATGAATAAACATATAAATACACATTTTTCATATGTGGACAGTAAGCAGTCCTTTATCTCTAGGACAACAGAATGTTGTATCTAAAGGAAGACTTTAAGAAGATATTTGAAGACGAGGTGCTGCCATTGATGTGTTAAATGTACAAACTAAAAAATTGGGAACATAAATTGAAGTATGCGGTGCTTTTCTTGTGCTACACAAAAACGAGTGTTCAATTTCAGTTGGTAATGCTTATTATATGAAGTTTTGAAACATAGTTTCATTTTATGTATTTTTTAGGGCAGATATCACCATATATCACACATAGAAGCATATATGAAACATGCTTATCACTCAGGGAATTATGAATTGAATAAGCCATACCAAGTTCTTACCACCTCTAACTAGTGTTAGAATGTAGAAAAGAACATAAACTGAGACTTAAAGGGGCAGTGGAGTGGGGTGGGAAGAAATTCTCAAAGTCCAACCTGCATCCAGAGTAAGTAAGTTTGTTAGATGAAGGGAATCCTAGGTGGTGTTCGAAGACAAATTGAATGTATCTGTATGGTCTTTTGTGAAACCAGTTTGATAAACAATTTCCTGATAATCCCAAGGCCTCCTGAAATCTCTCAAGCATATGAAATTGGGGAATCCGGGGGCAAGACTGAGCAGGAGGTGTATGGCCCCCAGTAATAGCTCTCATCTACATTATGTAGCTCTGACTGACTCTGAGCTGAATTACTGTTTTCTTCACATATTCAGGTCTTTTTGTTTTCAAATATACTCGATCGCTGAAGGTTAAAAATGTAAAGCACAATTTGTAAATAAAACAGATGTCAAAGGAAAGTACAAAATATCATTAAGTGTATCTGAATGCCAAGTTCTCCAGGTGACAGCAATGTGAAGTGCACAGTTAAAGATGAAAAGAAAATAGCTCAGTTATTTGGGTGATCAAAAGAATATCTGGATGATTAATTACATATTTGAAACTTGAAGACATTTCTTTTGTTTCATTTTCTTTTGTCTTTTCAAAAGAAAAAAATGTCAAGGGTTGATATGTCATTTTAGTTAAGGTTTATGAGCTGTTTTTTTTTTCCCCCTACAGGTGAAATCATTAACAGTTTTAGCATTTAAACAGAGCTATTTGAGCTTACAACTAAATCCTCTTGGCATGAAAGCTCTTGTTTTGCTACTCATGGTTTTAGTCTTCCTAGAAGCTGATTGATTAAAACCAATGTGCTCAGAGAATTCAAAATAAGAAAGAATACAAGTAAGAATAACTTTTGACAATGTAGGCTAAGTCAGCCAGTTTGTTTCATTTATGTCGCCTTTCTTCTTCACACTTTTTACCTGATTAAATCCCATTTTCACTTTGTGTTTATTTGTTTCAATTTGATTAGAGTTTCTGAAATGAATACTTAGATTCAAATAACTATCCATAAAGCCATGTGACTGTAGGATTTTAATTCATATATTAGTACTCGCATACACAATTATTAACAAATCAGGAAATTTCTACATTTCCCTTGAAGCAAGATACTGTATATTTAGTAAAATTCCTTGATAAATACTTGGAATGGAAGACACAACACCCATGTGGTAAAAGTTTTCTGGTTCCAAGGTTTTAGCAAGGAGGACATAAACTATTCTGTGTAAAAAGAGGAGGATGAAAATTTGTTTGCTTCTTGAGAGAGGAATGGGTGTGATAAAAGATAATAAAGAAAGAAAGGACTCAGGAAAATGAAGAGATGATTTGAATAGGCCAAGTGGAACTCCCTGAATGATGAATATCCAAAATTCAGATTTAGAATGGTGGTAAGATTCTTCTACTTGATATTTGTCATGTTCAATCAAAGCACTTCCTCCTTCCTCCCTCCCATCTGAAATCTTTAGAAAAACCATCCATTTAAAAAGTTTAGCCAAAATACTGAAATTGAAATTTTATCTATATAAATAAGAGATTTTGATGATTGAATAATTGTTTGGTTATTTCTCCTTTTAGTATTTATAACTTCTGATTTTCCAGTCTATGGTTTTACATTTTGTATTTTTGTACTTTTTACTTATCATCCAGGAAACATGCTGAAATAAATATGGAGCTAAAGATCACACATATTAACAGCTTAACTCTCTGAGATATCACCATAACCAATGCTAATAACTTATCTTCTTTCAATTTGTAGATAAGAAATACATGCTTTTGTCCATATACACACAGAACAAATATTCTTTGATATATAGATATATTTTTTTGCCATGATGATCTTAATTTTTACATATAAAATGTTTGTAAAATAATTCCACATGTTTGAACTCAGCTATAAATTTAAAATCCATTCAAAGTTAAAAACTTTAAGATAAAAATTAAAATGTCTTATAAATTTGTTTAAATTCCTTATAGATGCTGGATATGATAACTTTGACAGGGGCATAGTTTGCAAATATTTTCTTTCTGTAGGTTGTCTATTTCCTCTGTAGATAGTTTCTTTTGCTGTGCGTAAGCTCTTAAGTTTAATTAGATCCCATTTGTCAATTTTTGCATTTGTTGCAATTGCACTTGGCATCTTTGTCATGAAATCTTTGTCTGTTCCTATGTCCAGAATAGTATTGCCTAGGTTGTCTTCTAGGGTTTTTATAGTTTTGGGTTTTCCATTTAAGTTTTACTCCATCTTGTGTTGATTTTTGTGTATGGTAAGGGGTCTAGTTTCAATCTTCTGCATATGGCTAGCCAGTTATCCCATCACCATTTATTGTATAGGGAGTCCTTTCCTCATTGCTTGCTTTTGTCAACTTTGCCAAAGATCAGATGGTTGCAAGTGTGTGGCCTTATTTTTGGGCTCTCTATTCTGTTCCATTGGTCTATGGGTCTATTATGGTACCACCACTTAAAAGTGGGCAAAACACATAAACAGACACTTTTCAAAAGAAGACATACACATGGCCAACAAGCATATGAAGAAAAACTCAATACCCCCAATTATTAGAGAAGTGCATATCAAAACCACTATGAGATATCGTCTCACAGCAGTCAGAATGCTATTAATAAAAAGTCAAAAAACAACAGATGCTGGTGAGGTTGTGAAGTAAAGGGAAACTCATATACTGTTGGTGGGAGTGTAAATTAGTTCAACTATTGTGGAAAGCAGTATGGCAATTCCTCAAAGAGCTAAAAGCAGAACCACTATTGGATCCAGAAATTTCATTGCTGGGTATATACCCAAAGGAATCTAAATCATTCCACCATGAGGGCACATGCACACAAATGTTCATTGCAGCACTATTCACAAGAGCAAGACATGAAATCAACCTAAATGCCCATCAATGACAGACCGGATAAAGAATACATGGTACATATACACAATGGAATACCATTCAGCCATTAAAAAGAATGAAATCATGTCTTTGTGGGAACATGGATGGTGCTGGAGGCCATTATCCTTAGCAAACTAACGCAGGGACAGAAAACCAAATACCACATGTTCTCACTTATAAATGGGAGCTGAATAATGAGAACTGATAGACACAAAAGGGGGGCAATAGACACTGGGGACTACTTGAGGGTGGAGGGTGGGAGGAAGGAGAGGATCAGAAAAAATAATACTTGGTACTGGGCTTAGTACCTGGGTGATGAAATAATCTGCATAGCAATCCCCTGTGATATGAGTTTACCTATACAACAAACCTGCAAGTATACTCCTGAACCTAAATTAAAAGCTTAAAAATAAAAATAAAAATAAAAAACAGTGACAACACCAAAGACTGATGAGGATGCAGGGAAATTAAATCAGTCATACACTTCTGGTAGGCATGTAAACAGGTACAGTCACTCTGTAAAACAGTTTGCCAATTTCTTAAAAAACTAACCATGCAACTACCATATGATCCAGAAATTGTACTCCTGGGCATTCAAACCCAGAGAAATGAAAATTTGTGTTCACACAACCACCTGTACACAATCTTTATGGTAGTTTTATTTGTAATAGCAAAAAAATACTGGAAAAAAAACCTCTAATATCATCTGTAGACTATTACTCAACAAATAAATGGAACAAACTATTAATAGAAGTGATAACCTAGATAAATATTCAGAAAATTATGCTAAGTGAAAAAAGCAAATCCTAAAAGGTTACATATTGTATAATTCCATTTATATACTGTTTTTGAAATTATAAAATTATAGAAATCGAGAACAGAATAGTGATTGCCAGGGTTTAAGGAGAGAGCTAGGGGTGGGAGGAAAATGATTGTGACTATGAAAGGTCAACAGGAGGGATCCTCGTGGTGATAGGAATGTTTTCTTTATTAGCTTTATCAATGTCAATATACTGGCTGACATTCTACTATAGTACTGCATAACATTACCACCTGGGGAAATTGGTTAAAGACTATGTTGAATCTCTGTATCATCTCTTACAATTGTGTGTGAATCACAATTATCTCAAAGTAAAAAAGTTTAATTTAAAACAATATTTTAAAATTAAATAGACCTAATTTATTCATTTAAAAAAATTATATATTTTTTCCAGACTTAAAATATAGATTATGACCAAATTGTTACATATTGACCATTTAACATAGGTTGTACCATCTCTGTTACATTATTATGTATGTATACAATATGACTACATTTCAATAGTTTTTAAATTTTGTTTTCTGAATTTCATCACTTCTGAAATTTTACCACACTGCCTGATCATCTTTGGAAATAGGGAAAAAGAGAAAGTAGATTAGGAGTGAGATGTGAAGGCAATGGATATTATTGACATTTCTATTCTTCTGTTTAGGTTTCTAAATCAATTGAAGGAATTAAATGACATATAATCAAGTATTTAATGGCCTGAGACTTGGAGGCATGTTTCCCAAAATCCAGACTTATGTGCCACTATTTATTAGTAAAGATTCTTCTTAAAGCAAGGCTAATACTGAGTTGCATAATTGTGTTGACTTACGTACTGTTAAATTCTAAGTGATCCAACAGGTTATATTTCAGACTACCATCTATACAAAACAGAGCACAGAGAGCAGATTCCATACTGTGGATCATAGTTTTAGAATATTTAGTAATCCTTTGAGTAAAGAAAAAAAATTCTTAAAACATTTCTTTCTGGTGACATTTTGAAGCCTTTTGCAGGAGATAAATAGAAATATCTAGATTAAAAGGAAATAACTACAACAAGTTCAAAGCTAAATATAGAGATTTACTGAATATTTCCACAGTCAACAAATGTTTTCACATTTGAAACAGAAACATATTTAATGAGAGCTCCTGGGCTTAATATATGGCCAAAGTTCTATTGCCTGTTTTAAATAACAACCAAAACAGGAATAGAAAAATGGAAATGAGTAAAGCAAAATGGAAGTTGATATGCCAGGCCTAAGGGCCTTCTTCTGTTCCTTTATATTCAATGCTTTTAATAAAAAGAGAAAATGCCTGCATGTCAACTTTTGCAAATAAAAATATATGGGTTTTTAGCAGTCCTACCAGTAGGATTTCAGAGGCATTCTTATTTCTCTGACCATATACATTCTGAAACACTTTATTGTTCACACGACTATCCTTGATATCTTGATATCTTAGGTAAACAAGCTGTTTTTCTTTCTCTAAAACAAAGCAATGTTTTTGAACTATGGGTACAATTCAATGAAATATGACCGAAATAAATGCTTAGGGTAAATTAAGAAAGAAACTTTTGTTTATTATTTTAATATTTCCTACATACAAAAATAACATATAGTAAGCACATCTTATTTTATATATGATATTTAATAAGGAACCATAAATAAAAAATAAAATTTAAAGGAAACCCAAAGTATATGTTTTTTGTTATACAACATTTTACCTATAGCTCCAATAGAAAATATAGAAATTTTTGAAAATTTTAAATGTAAAGACAAGGGAAAAAGAGAAATCACAGGAGAGTACCAATTTACTTAAAAGTTATCATTTAGAGAAAAACATTCCGTTTGCTTAAAAATTGAGAATTATTTCATTTGGAGCATCATTACACAAGACAGACTTCTATATATAAGTATATCACATATATATGGATGTAAGTATACATAGACTCACAGAACCACTGTCCCAGGTTCTGTAGAAAATTAGGTCATATGGTGAAATATGAATTCAATTACAACATGTCAGCAATTTGAATGACTCTAAGAAATAATCTGGAATACATTTTTCCAAAGTTTGAAAATTGATTGCGGTATATTTCATGTTCCTCCAGGTTTTCACTTTTACCACTCTCTTTCATGCATTGACAGGTATTCTTGTTTTATTCCTCCCAGAATCTCCTCCCCTATATCATTTATCTACCAGGGACTTCTCAGTCCTCTTTTCACTTCCGCATCACTGCATGTTCCTTTATCTCCTTTTCTGTTACAATCTCTTATTACATAGTCTCCTTTATGGCTCTCAATTCCAGGGTTCTTCTATTCTTTTTTCTCCCTCATGACCTTACCCACTTCTTTAGAGCCAGTAGCCTAGTAGGGGGCTCTGTCCAGATGTTCCACGTGGATTCAAATTCATATGGTAACATTTAACCATTATTTCTCTCCTGGAATGTGTTTTGCTTTGAATCTTTTATCTTAATTTATGTCAAACATTGAACTAGTCATTCATGTCAAAAATCTTATTTTTCTATTCCCATTACTTATTTAGTACCAAGTGCTTTCACTTTGAACACTGTCTTAAAAATGTCTCCTCCCACCAATCTCAGCCACCTTAATCAGCCCTCAGCAACTCTAATTACTCCTGGGTAATTTAATGAGGAAATAGCTGCTACCAGCCACTTTTTATTTTGTCTTCTTCAGTCCATTTGTGTATTGCCACTCTACAGAGCCTTCTAGAATAACAGTCTGGTCATGTTACAGATTTGGTGAAAATCTTACAACGCTGCTTTATCAAATCTGTTCTATTGAAAAATTGTTCTATCATCAAAAAGATATGGAAATTTGTGTTAAACAATAAATAATTTTCTTATATTACAATGTTTCTAAGAAATGGAATATGTTTTCTCTTTCCTAGAGCAAGACATACAATGGTATACAGAGTTTTTTGAATCTATTAGATCCTAAAACGGTTTATATGTATCCTCCCATAAAACACTACACAGAACCAGTGTTCCCTAGGGCACATTTTGGAAAACTTAGGTCAGGATTAAATCTGACATGCTTTGTATGTACAAAGAAGGCTCTGAACAAAGTAATCCATGCCTAACTCTTTGTGTCCTACTCATGTACATCATTCAATGGCCTGGCCTCAACAAACTTTGTAGTTCTCCAAGTATGCCACAACTCTCTTTTTCTTCTTTGGTTAAAATGCTTGACTTCCTATTAGCAGTCTGTTGAATGTCTGTGTATTATGATATACCAATTCATACACAATCTTCATTCTTGATCATATCTTGATATATTCCTCCCTCTAGTGAAAGTGGTCATTATCCCATTTGTACCATTCTCCCAGACTTAATTGTGAAGATGAGAACGAGATTAATCATCTTTTTCATCCATATACTCTAGTGGAGTCCCAAGAACATTGACATTAAATAAATGCTTTTTCATTAAGTAAATGACTGAAGTCTAGTTCAACATTTAATGGACATCTCTTATGTGTCACCAACTATAAGAATTGAATGATGCTTTTCTTATGAGTATAATTATAGTACATATTTTATGAGATTGTTTTGGTAATTAAAATGAATGACTGTAAAACATTTAGAACACTGCTTGATCAGTGCTATATGAGTTTTTGTTAAAATAAAATTTAAGAAAAGGAATACTAGAGCTCAGCTGTCAAGTAGCTTATAAATCTAAAGCAGAAAATAAGTTTGCAGACTTGCTGATTGTGCCAAGCAGAACACGTTAAAATAAAGTTTTGAAATGTATGAAATGAAGATGGAGAAATAAATTCCAGCAGAAAGAATTGAGATGGAAACTCAGAATCCAATGTTAGTGAAGAAAAAGATTCTGTAAGTAGAAAGCCAGCTTCAGAGTGGCTGGTCACTTGAAATTTGTGCATGGGTATTTCTCCTATTGATGAGGAGAAGCAAGAAGTATTCAACCTTAATTGTCCCAGTCATTTTCATATGCAGTCCATGTTTAATGTTGAACTAAATTCTAGTATTTATTTTACTTAAGTCATATGTAAAACAGTCTTTTTAGTATAGTGATTTTTAGTAAAGTGGCTGCTTCAGTATAATTATCTAACACTGATAAGTAAAATAAGTAAACAATTATTTTTTTAAACTTTAACCAAATGCTTGTTTCAGACACTTAGATAATAATTTAAAAGTACTAAAATATCTAGAATTTTCATTAAATATTTAATGAACAAGAGACTTAGTAAGTGAAAAGAGTAGATGTTAATATAACTTAAGTCTAATAAAATATCTTTATTTCTCTATTCCTCTTTCTAGACAGATACTCTTACATGTTTATATCTGCAGGACATGTGTTCCTAGAGTTATGAAATATATTAAAATTTTGTTTGGTGATAAATATTTTCCAGAAATAATAAAATTAGAAAATAAACATATATGCAATAATTTTACCAATTTTACAATTATAGGATTGATTTAATAACTTGGAGATTTATAACATGATATTACTGTGAGGTTTTCTTTATTTTTCTAAGTTAAAAAGCATCACTTGATATAAAAATATTAACTAATGACTTCGTTTTTGTGTTTGGCTGTTTTTTACCCTTCTAGTGACAAGCTACTAGGGATATAACAACTCTTTATTGTTAAGCTTCTAATAATCTTGAAAAACATCTCCTGGCTAGGGAGGAAGGAATCTAAAAATGTCTCATTAAAATAATCATTTGGTAACTTTTTTTTAAATTTTCTTCAAAATCAAGCAGAATTACAGCACACAGACTCCAAAAGCTAAACGTGAGTACATCCTTTCCAGATCTAATTAATCCACAATTTGTCACAAGAAATTTATTCTACTTATATTCATTTTCTGAACAATCTCCGCCACTTTCGGGTTCTTCTGACACCCCACCTCTAACCTTTGATATGCCGGTAAAATTGGAGAGATTGCCACACTATTTTGTGATTAAGGGCAATTTCAAAAGAAATTGAGTTCTCATGCTATAGAGCAAGAACTTACCTAAAGTAGTCAAGAAACAAGAGAAACCAGAAATTGTTTTACATGAGACAGATCTCATATTTTTAAATATAGTGTACCACTTTCTTAATAAGTAAAATTAAAAGAAAAATGTAACTTAGGATACAGAAAGTCCTAAAGGACCATTACTCCCTCCTAAGAATAACAACAAAATATAAAAGTTACCAGCTCAAAGAATTAGCTAATGGTTGCTTTTATCCCTAGCAGAGAAACAGGAGAGGATTTTGTAGTACGCCTGGGATATATTGTGTTATGTATTAATAAAATTGATGAAAAATTGAGTTTTGTTTTTTGTTTTTTTTTTTTGAGATGGAGTCTCGCTCTGTTGCCCACCTGGAGTGCAGTGGCGTGATCTCGGCTCACTGCAAGCTCCGCCTCCCGGATTCACGCCATTCTCCTGCCTCAGCCTCCCGAATATCTGGGACTGCAAGTGCCCGCCACCACGCCTGGTTTATTTTATTTTATTTTATTTTATTTTATTTTATTTTATTTTATTTTATTTTTTGTATTTTTAGTAGAGACAGGGTTTCACCGTGTTAGCCAGGATGGTCTTGATCTCCTGATCTCGTGATCCACCCGCCTCAGCCTCCCAAAGTACTGGGATTACAGGCGTGAGCCACCACGTCTGGCCAATAAAATTAAATTTTAAACTAACAATTAAAATTTTAATACATTCAGAAATATTCATGCAGGGACTGTGGTGGATTACAATATCAAGGCACCCTTGCTATGGTGTAAGTCTACCCATTCGAAACTCTTTCCCATGGGCCTTCATTGAGCACACTGAAAGTATAGAGTCTGGGAGTCACACCAGTGGGTTGAAAAAAATTCTTTCAAGTCCTCTGGGCCTTTATTGCATCCATTGCTGCAGTCTCAAATAGGTGGACATAAAGCATGAGAGGTAAGACAATTCTACCAGGCAACCAGGGTTTTTATGCAATTGTCTCCAGCAGCTGTCCAAAGTCTAGAAACAGGCTTCAGGACAGGCAAATATCTCTTGAGGTTCAGAAAGTCTGGCAGGACTAGACAGCAATAAAATTTTCCAGTAACCCACAAAGTCATCACCCAGGCTACAAAGCAGAGAATGATGTTCTAGAGTTTGGAAAGTTGACAGCTATCTGCAAAATATTTAAAAAATTGGGATTTTAATCTTGCTCAGATCCCAAGTCTTGCTGAAGACGTCATAATCTCATTCTCAAAATACTTGAAAGCTGTGATCAATTAACTCGAAACCAAACTGAGAACCAGTCTACCTGCAGATTAGGTTAAATCAGGCTCCCTCAGTTTGGCAAACTAGGAAAATTACAGGAAACATTTAAAATATTCTAGGCCGGGCGCGGTGGCTCACGCCTGTAATCCCAGCACTTTGGGAGGCGGAGGCGAGCGGATCACGAGGTCAGGAGATCGAGACCATCCTGGCTAACATGGTGAAACCCCGTCTCTACTAAAAATACAAAAAATTAGCTGGGCGTGGTGGCAGGCGCCCGTAGTCCCAGCTACTCGGGAGGCTGAGGCAGGAGAAAGGCGTGAACCCGGGAGGTGGAGTTTGCAGTGAGCTGAGATTGCGCCACTGCATTCCAGCCTGGGTGACGGAGTGAGACTCCGTCTCAAAAATAAATAAATAAATTAAATTAAATTAAATATTCTGAGGAGAAAATTTTATTTACTACAATGTTTGTGATTCTTTCCCACACAACGTTCAACATATAATAAAAAATTATGAGTCTCTTGAAGGTACAATAAAATATGACCCATGGTCTAAAGAAGAAACAGTCAGTTGGAGCAACCCCCTATTTTGGATTCAGTTGCTGGAATCATCTTATAGGGATTCTTAAATAACTGTGAGTACTATGCTAAAAGATCTAAAGAAAAAAAGGGGACAATATGTGCAAAGACAAGGTATGTCAACAGAGATTGAAACTATAAAATTAATTCTGATAGACAAGCTAGAAACTTAAAACAATTCATATTAGAAATGAAGAATGTATTTGAAGGGTTCAAAGATTAAAAGCCATGGAGAAGATAAGTGAATCTGAAGGCTTTCCATAGTAATCGTCTAAATCAACATAAAGAGAAAACTTATTTAAAAAGATCAGAGCATATGATGCCTGTAGAATAATGACAAATAGCTTCTCACACATAATTAGAGCTAGAGATGGAGAAGTAAAAAAGAGTGGAACAAAAGAACTACTTGAAGAAGTATGTAGTAATCATTTTCTAAAATTGATGAAAAGCATAAATCTATAGTTCTGAGAAGCCAGCAAACTACAAACAAGATAAAGTCAAAGAATCAATTATCTATGTACATTAAAATTAAACTGCTTAGAAGCAAAGAAAACCAGAAAAAATAAAAGCAGCAGGGTTGATATATCACATCATGACATCAATGATAAGAATGACAATTGACTTAAGAAACACTGGGGCTAGGAGACACTGGAACGAAATCTTTAAAATGCTGGAAAAACTCTGTTAAGGATTCTTTACCTGTATCTATGTTTTTCAAAAAGAAAGAAGAAATAACACTTTTAGGCAAAATAAAAGCTGAGATAATTTGTCTTCGGCATATTTATAATATAAAAATTACTAAAAATACTTGTTTAAGCTAATGTAAAATTATATCAGACAAAAATCCAGAACTCCAGAAAAAACTAAGAACCCAAAAAAGTAAATATATCATTAAACATAAAGGACATTTTTCATAACACATATATACACAAACATAACTACATATGCACATGCATATGCATATGTATTTAACATAATTTTAAAGATGGTTGATTGGTTAAAGCAAACATAACAATGTATTATAGGGTTTATATCACATGCAGAAGTAAAATATGTGACAAGAGGACATAGAGAGATAAGAATATACAAAACTAATCTATGGTATTAGAAATCATAAAGTTGTTGGGGCAGGGGTGGGTTAATTAGAAAAGTGGACAAGAGAACTTTTGCTATAATGGGAATATTTTCTATTTTGCTTTTTGTGTAAATGGGCATATAAAATTGTCAAAAATCATCAAACCTAAACCCTTAGATCTCTACATTTAGAGATCTAAATTTAGATCTCTAAATTATAAAAATAATATTAAAAATAAAAATTGAATGCATACGAATTTAGCATGATGACCATATTTATTTTCTTCTTTCTTGTTTTGGTTTCAAGGCATTTAAATTAGCTACTAAACTTTTTTTTTAATTTGAATTTTTACTTTTCTTGGTTTTCTTTACCAAATTTTCTAAAATGAGTCTGTGTTATCAGAGAACATAAATATAAATCTGTTCTATGTGAAACGAACAAATGAATAAAATAATAGCATTGCCTCAGCAGGAAGAAATCTTGTTTCTCAATAAGATCTTTCAGTTTACATTAATCATTCAATAAATAAGCCAAAGTAAGCCAAAAATCTTAGATTTCATTTTTTTCTGTATTTTTCTTTTTCCCTTTTGCTTTCATTCTGCTTCTCTGATGATTATGTACTTTCTTGTCATTGCTCTTCTTTCCTCTTTCTCTTTTCATTTGACTTCTAATCTTTGGCCTGAAAATACTTTTTTCATCTGGTTTTATCAACTAATACTAAAATTTGGCTGTTCCAATTAATTATTTTGCAACTTTGTTAGCCCTAATTCTGAAACAACAACATTTTCTCTCAATACATTGCTTAATTCAACACATTCTGAGGAATTTAACACCATCTTTTTTTTTTTTTCCAATGGACAATCATCAGGGAATTAGCCAATAATGAGCTAGTGATATTGGCAAACTGACATACAGTATGACTGTTCAGGCCTTTGCAGACATCCAATTTGCACACAAAGGTGCATGCACACACACATACATACACATACACATAACACCTATATTTTTCTCAATGAATCTCCTTTTTGGGTGTATCTACTAAACTTCCTCTTTGGTCTTGCCTGTCCTTGTTCATTGTCTTAGTTTGAGATGCAGCTCATTCTACTTAGTTTTATGCTTGCATCTGACCTACTGATTATCTTGCCTTCCCAACCTTTATGTGAGTTGGCATTTTTAGTCTCCCTTTCTTTGCACTCTAAACTCACCAACTCCCAAATTCTCTGGGAATGTTCTTTGACCGATATTGAACAAAAATTCTTTTTAAGTCTGAGAATAAGAATTTTTTAAATCTGACTTTAAGGCCTTAGAATACTACTGTTTCTCTTACCTTCTGATTAATATACTCCTGAAATAATTATGAAATCATAAATGAACAAATCTCATTATGTCAAACCAGGCATTAAGTAACTCAAGTTGAAGAACAGAATAACATGTATTTAGGATACTAAGTTGTCATACCAAAATTACCTTGGGTCTACAATCACAAAATTAAAATCAGCCAGGCACAGTGGCTCACGCCTATAATCACAGCAGTTTGGGAGGCTGAAGCAGGAGGACTGCTTGAGCCCAGGAGTTTGAGACCATCTTGGGCAACATAGTGAGACTTTGTTTCTACCAAAAAAAAAAAAAAAATCAGCCAGTGTGGTGGTGTGTGCCTGTACTCCCAGCTACTTGGGAGGCTGAGGTAGGAGGAATGTTGAGCCTGGGAGGTCGAGGCTGCAGTGAGCCATGATTGTGCCCGCTGCTCTTCAGCTTGGGCAACAGAGCCAGACCCTGTCTCAAAATAAAAAAAAAAGAAAAAAATTCAATTAAATTCATTAAAACATTGACGGATTAAAATGATTTTTCTGTAGCTTTTAAGGGAGTATGCTATCTTAAGTAGTTAACCATTTTTTTGTCATTTTAACTTATTTAAATGTCAATATTAAGTTCAAGAACATTGATATAAAATATCATCTTAACCTTAGATTAAGACTTGCATTATTATATTAATCATTTTACAACTTACTTCTTTAAGGCTTAGTTTTATTTTTAATTCATTGTTTTATTAGACTCTGATGAGAATATGAATTTTTAAAAAGTTTGTTTTCTAATACCATATATCAACTATATGTTATTAAACATAATTTTAGCATCTATTTTTATATAAATATGTCAAAAATCACATGAAAAAGCAAATTATAGTGTGTATTTTCATTCATATCTTTTTGATAAAAAAACTATATTAACTAATGATAAATAATTTATTATTCTGTATGAATAAACTTCTTTTATCTGAAGTCCTCTTACCTGCTTCGGGAAAACAAATGTAAGGGAAAAAACAAGTAAAACAAATGGAACAAAAGGGGAAAATAAAAAAGATCTTCCTAATAAACTATGTAACAGAGATCATTCACCTTAACTGTCAGCAGGAATTCCAGAATAAGTCATTTATTCAGTGATGGTAACTTCACAACATTATGACGACAATTACAGGTACTCTCTATTACATGGTTTAACATTGAACCTCAACTTGAGTTGAGTCAGTGCACTGGAGTAGCAAAATAAATAACTGTGACATTTTGAAATGTCTGCATATCACCAATATATGCATTGATTTTTCATTTTAAAAGTCTACCCTTTTTCCAAATTAATCTTTATATTTTCTCCCCAAAATTTGGGTAATGCATAGGGCTACATCCTACTTGCTTGAAAAGTGAATGGAACCATTCATATAGTTATAAGAATCTCTACAAATAGAAAAGAAAATTTAGTAAAAGAGAGATAAATAGCATTTACCATTTGGCTTATAATGTAAATATCATGCAATGTCCTTAGTTGAAGACCTGTACTTATTAACAAAATATATATATATAAAATTATATTTATTTCTTTACATACATAAAAATATCTATTTTTTAAATAAGTATAAATCTTTAGCCAATCAGATTATATGATTTTTAATTTAATAGACCACTTTGTCCAAGAATCTTTTTTCCCTCAATTAATATACATTTGTTTATGTATTAGAGCTAAATTTATGTGTCTCTTTGTAAAATTTATTTATTTTGTTTTTTTTTTATTATACTTTAAGTTTTAGGGTACATGTGCACAATGTGCAGGTTAGTTACATATGTATACATGTGCCATGCTGGTGCGCTGCACCCACTAACTCGTCATCTAGCATTAGGTATAACTCCCAATGCTATCCCTCCCCCCTCCCCCCACCCCACAACAGTCCCCAGAGTGTGATATTCCCCTTCCTGTGTCCATGTGATCTCATTGTTCAATTCCCACCTATGAGTGAGAATATGCGGTGTTTGGTTTTTTGTTCTTGTGATAGTTTACTGAGAATGATGATTTCCAATTTCATCCATGTCCCTACAAAGGACATGAACTCATCATTTTTTATGGCTGCATAGTATTCCATGGTGTATATGTGCCACATTTTCTTAATCCAGTCTACCATTGTTGGACATTTGGGTTGGTTCCAAGTCTTGTAAAATTTATTTTGTTGAACACATGGATAAATCAATACATTCTGACTTTTTAAAAAGTCCATTTTGTTGATTCCTATTTCTTTGACAGTAAAACATATATTTTTATTCATATGGCTTTTCTCTCAAAATTTATCGCCCTAATATTTAACTTTGCCTTCTATAGCTGCTCAAAGTTACTTATTAGACTTCCACTTAACACATAATCTCTCTTGTAGAGTACACTTAAGTATTTTTTAGAGACTTCATGATGAGTACTTGGTTGTCCCTAAGTTTTTCTGACAATTTTGTTATTTTAACTTTCATTTCTTGTTCTTAACCCTCTTAAATGAAACTTCCTATTTGTGATAGACTTATTCTTTTGTTCTTGACTTTCCATTGCAACCACCTCTGGGGTAATATTTTTAAAAGAATGTTTAGAAATCAAATAGGAGTTTAGCTAACTATGAATGAGAACATATTTTCATTACATGTTTGAGGAATAGATTTTTTACTGGGTAAGAGATCTCAGGCACAATTCTGGCTAACTAAAATATTGGCTTTAGCTACATAAGGTAAGACATTTAATAAGTGTCAGGTCTATACCATAGATGTCATGATTAAACAAGCTACTAAGTGTATAGCTAGGATGCATTAAAAAATTGTTCGGGAAATTTTTGGCAGAAGAATATTATCCAGAATCAGATTTATGAGGATGCAGTAAAAGATTAAGATTTTGGCTGGTGCTCATGGTAATACGGTCTAAGGGAACCAAGGTTTTATTTAAGCTTGAGGTATGTTGATGTACTACCTAATGGTTATCAAATTTTTGTTTCCAGGAATAAATGATTTAGACAAATTAGTTCATAATTCATTAGGAGAAAAATATATTGCTTAAAATCTATTGATAACTAAAGTTGAATAACTTTTAATAACTTTGATTTCTGAATTGATCATTGGTATTTTCTTTCTGGAGCCAGAAATAGGCAAATTCTATAATTGGTAAGGTATGCATATTTAGTCTTTTATAAAGATGGCTTTCAAGGTTATTCAAAACCATATAGTGTTTTTGCTTTTCATAATATCTATGCCCTTAAATCATTTTCTGTATGCTTATTTGAGATTGTTCCTTCTATTAGGTCAAGATTTTATAAATTTCAAGGACTATTATCCTGCTATAGTACAGAATACATTTGAAAGGCCAGTGGTGATAGTGTTTTCCACCCAGATAACAATACTAATAAATTATTTACTAAGTGCACTTATTGTGTCCAAGGACTGCAATAAATGCTCAGCATGCATCTCCTTTAACTATCATAAAAAAATCTATAATGGGTTTTAATTATGACCACATTACAGATCTTTTTAAATGAGGCTTAGACAACTTAAATTCCCATTATCAAATGGCTAGTAAGCGTAGAACTAGGATTATAAAACAGATCCATTTGAACTCAAAATCCATGTTCTTTCTACTCCACCAGGAATAACATATCTAGTAATTGCGCTGCTAACCTTTTATGATGCTCATCCCCGCTGAGCCCAGATGTGCTCTAAATTAGTGCTCTTATGTTCAAATCAATCACCCGAGAATCTTGTTAAAACACAGACTGTCATATAAATGTGGAATCATACAGTAATTGTCTTTTGTGACTGGCTTATTTCACTTAGCATAATGACCTCAAGTTCTGTGCATGTTGCAGTTGTTGTTTAATGGGTACAGATTTTCACTTTTGCAAGATGAAGAAGTTTTGGAGAGTGGCTGCATGACAATGTGAATATACTTAACACTACAGAACTTCACACTTAAAAATTAAGTTAGTAAATTTTGTGTTATATGTATTTTACCACAGGTTTTAAAAGTAGACTCTTAGTGGGGTACAGAGGCTCCTGTCTGTAATATGAGTATTTTGGGAGGCCCAGGTAGGAGGATCGCTTGAGAACAGGAGTTTATGCCAGCCTGGGAAACCTAGCAATACCCTGTCTCTAGAAAAATAAAAATAAAATAAAATAATCATCTGGGTGTGGCAGTGCACATCTGTAGGCCTAGTTACTCGGGAGGCTGAGGTGGGAGGATAGCCTGAGCCCGGGAGATTGAGGCTGCAGAGATGATTATACCACTGCACTCCAGCTTGGGCAACTGAGTGAGACCCTGTCTTAAAGAAGCCAGAAAAACAAAACAAAAAATGGAATCTTATTTGCTGGGTCTGGGATGAGCCCAAGGTGATGCTGATGCCACTGGTTCATAAGCACCCTCTGCCATGCAAGGGTATAGATATTTTTCTCCAGGGTGACCTCTAAGAAACCACTGCCATTTGATTTGAATTGGCATGTAAGATATTAATAAAACATATTGAGTTTTTGCTATCTACTATACTTTCTTTCCAACTAACATGCATGTCCTCATTCACACTAGTAGGACAGGTGAGCAAAAAGTGCCCATTGCTTCTGATGCCCTTCAATTTCCTAGACAGTTCAGATTCTAAGAATGTCTTTGGCCTTGGAAGCATTTTTGTCTTAAACTTCTGAAATAATTGTGTCCTGAAATACCTTTTGTGATATTTGTTGAAAAGTTTCCTCCTACTCTGAGAGCTGAGAAGAGAGGAACCATTTCCAAGCTGCTGCTACATATCAAAGAGCCTGTCTTTTCAGCTTCACTGACAAGTGGAATGATTTTCCGGAGTCTGAGAAAATATCAGGCAAAATCTTTTCCAGATAAAAAAGCTGCTGTCAGCTGCCTGCAGCTGAGGAAGCAACTTTAAATCCTGTGGGGAGAATTTCTATTGCAACCTCAATCCCAGATTCCAGCTTCTGTCTTACATCCTTTTTTGGCTTGACTCTGCTCAAGGAGCTCACCAAACTAAGGAAAAGAAAGTTAGCAGGACCTACGGGTCTCACCTTCACACTGCCAATCTCAAAGTTTTCTCTTGAGGAAACCATGGTAACAGACGCCTGTTCAGAGAAGCAATGTAAGGTGATTATTTACACATAACCTATTGTGCTTTGTAGCCCCACCCTCACATGATAAAGCCAATAGAAATTGATGCTGAGGTCCAAGTACAGATTTTTTTTTTTTTTTTTTTTTTTTTGAGATGGAGTCTAGGTCTGTCACCCAGGCTGGAGTGCAGTGACACAATCTCGGCTCACTGCAACCTCTGCTTCCCAGGTTCAAGCAATTCACCAGCCTCAGCCTCCTGAGTAGCTGGGATCACAGGCATGCACCGCCACACCCAGGTAATTTTTTGTATTTTTAGCAGATACGGGGTTTTGCCATGTTGGCCAGGCTGGTCTCGAACTCCTTACCTCAGGTGACCCACACGCCTCGGCCTCCCAAAGTGCTGGGATTACAGGCATGAGCCATCATGCCCAGCCTACAGGTTCTTCTAATACCTAATTGAAGTGTCCTGACATGACAATTTTATATTACATGGCAATGTGCTATGGCAATAATATCTTCTGATTTGGGAAGTGAATATGATACAAAGAGAATTAACAGGAAAGCAGAGAATCAAGAGATGCCTTCTACTATGAAAATTATTCCCAGAGCTGCACTGACCTTGAAACTCACCTGTTGCTCCACGGCGGCTGAGTTAATTTTTCTTTACTTTCCCATGTGTCTTCCCAATATATTTGCATTCATTGGAATAATCCTGAGTTCTCTTGATTTCTTGCAAATTGAAAATGCCTAAACACAGAATTAGTTTTGCCCATTGATCAAGCCTTAATAAATCTTACAGATTCTGGCCTTGACCAAGGCTATGATCTCCACTCCATCAGTGACTGGCCTGAGCTGGCTCTGGAGGGGTCCGGCCAGGCCTCTTACTAAGTTATCTTTATAGTTTTCATGGCACCTGTACTCAGGGGCAGCTCTGTTTTGTATTTAGAAATACCTCATTTTCAAGAAAGATATCTGTTTTCATTATTCCTATTATAGTCCCAGCAGCCTTTAAAAAAATGTGCTTAGCCAGTCAAAATGATAATCTTGAGATTTTTCTAACTTTACCTTTTTCTCCTACTTATTTGCTTAGAGAAAAGAGTGGTCATCTACCTCTCCAAACTGTATGCCACCACTACTGTGCTCTTAACTAATATTTCTGATTTGTCAGTTAGGAATTCCTTCCTCTCTGTTTCATTTTTTTTTCAGAAGCCTCCAACATACCATGTTTTCTATTCTTTCTTCACGTATTACTAAAGTATATTTTCCCTTCCCTTCCATATTTGCTATTCTTTCAACTTTGCCATTCACCTTCCTAATCCACTGATATTTCAGGAAAGGTTCTTTTTCCATTTCTGCTATTTATTACCATGTGGCTTACTTCATCCTACTGAGACATCATTTCTACATTTGTAAATGGGGATTAAAAATGCCTGCATTTCCTACTTTGCAAGGATTTGTGAGAATGAAAGATGGTAATACAATGGAAGTGTTTTGTAGTTATAAAGTTTTACATATTATCTAGAGAACTATCTTGCTTTCATTTTATACGGTCAGAAACAAGATATTAAATAAGGAAGTGCTCTCAGAAAGAAAGACCTTTGCATTTAAAAATGTGGTTCATCATTTATATTTATTTAGTCACACACCATTTTAAAAAGTGTCATTACTTTTTTATCTGTATGATATATATTATTTTTGGACCTGAACTCACAGTTTGTTAAAATGCAAAGATAAATAGAAATCAGAAAGCTCTGAATATTAGTTGTCAAAAATAATAAAATAGTTCACCTCTGAATTTTGATGAGCAAATCAACAAGTTCAGTTTTCCATCAAGAAAGAAAAATAGCTGTCTCATTCAAATACATTTTTTAATTTATATTATATTAATATTGCTGTCACAGTGACCATTATGACTTCAAGTAATCTATGTAAACATCATCTAACAAAATGTACCTGAGAACTGTGTTTCATGCTTACCAATTTATTATTCTGCCTATTTGGAAGTTCTATTATTACTAGCATACATAGTTTATATACTTCTTCCCTTAGGGAGGAAAAACCTCTCAATTATACTGTTTATTAGCTAAGACAAGAACTCTAGCATTTACCTGAATATAAAGCTTTTGGATAGAGGAGACATATAGTTTAGTGGGAATTTTGGGCACCTAAGATTTATTGCCAGATATTCTTGTTAACTTATTTGGTCTACAGTGATTGTGAAAGTAGGTTTTTGAGCCTTGTCCCCTTTGTCATTCCAAAACTGAGATTAAAGCAATGCTCAATTTTACATTTAAGATGAATAAAGTATGATTATAAAATAACACATATAAAATGACCAAAAATTAATAATTAATTGTCTGATGTGGACCATTCAAGCACATCAGACACCTAACAATTAGGATAGATGAGCATCTTTCATGAAAGGAAAGTTAGCATCTATATTTTTAAGGAGGCATATGATAATAAGGACTACAGAGCAATTACTTTGAGAGTGCTTCTACTGTCACATTTTAGAAGAGGTTCTAATGCAAGATTTCTGTTTCATTTCTTATTTTTAATTTTACCAAGAAACTCTTGAATTTGCAATTGTATACCACAAATAAATGCATTAGGTACAAGTGCCTCAATGTCCTAGGAAATTGATGTCTTAGTTCAAAAGGAAATGCTGTTACAGCTTTATAATTGAGTCATATAATTTCCATGGTTGAGTAGATGTTGGCTTTCACCGGTCCTTGTCCTTTAAAGTCCACCACCTGACACATCACCACAAAGAACAGGTAATTTATTATTTTTTATTGCCATTAATTTATAGCTTTAAGTTTCAAAGGAGAATTATAAGTTACCACAATATCTGGAGCTTTTTAAGTTTTGTATTCCCCTTTGACTGCTTAGGATAATCTAAATCACCAGAGATTAGAAAAGAATCATGAAATAATGTTCAAATTACGGAAAAACAGACTTTAAAAAACAGTATTAAAATGGAGGTAAATTATCTTAGTGGATTATTTATTTCTGACAGATTTGCCTATATTGTAGTTAAAGAAATTGGCTTTTTTCCTTGATTTATAATGATTTTATTTATAGAAAAAATATAATGGGACAAATTTTCTTTGGATCTAAAATTTTTCTTAAAATTCAAAATTCAAATGATAGTTGTGGTATTATAAATTTGGATTCTATTTTATTTAAAATGTTGCCACCTCTGAAAATGGCTTAAAGGCTCTATCACAAAATGTTTGCTAGTAAAATTAATACAATACAATCTAGCTGTATTAACACAGAGCACCAATCAACTTTACCAAACACTATTTGCAAATAAACATTTGTAATCAAGAATTTTGGAGACTTAAAATCCATCTCACTTACACACTAGTTATTGAACTTTGAGGTCCAGAGAAGAAAATAATTTATCAGTTTCCTATCCTGTGATGTGAGAATAATAACAGGCATATCATAGAAACTTGTGAGGATTATCCCTCTTACATTCATACGAAAACTAAAGTCTAGAGAGGCTAAGAGATCTTAAGGTATCACAAAGAGAAACTTGTAGGTTTAGTATTCAAACTTTATATGCCCTGCTCTAAAATGCTACATTTTCCTTGATAAGCACATAATCACATACAGAGTTTCAGATTATTTAATTTCTTATTCATAGAAAGAATATGTTGGATGTATAAAACATATTTCTTAGGAATTATTATCTACAAAACGGGTTTTAAAATACTGTTAACTCCAATCACTTAACAGTTTGAGTTGTTTTGGATGGTTCACCAGTCCCTATAACTCTTGCAGCTTACTGCCATTTGGGTTTCTCAGACAAAACCACAGCCTTCTACTCGATTTGAGAATTTTTCTTTTTAACCTGTACACTCGCTAAGAGAATACAATTTGGAATAAGTTGACAGAAATAGCTATAATAGTATATGTAGTTGCACACTGACTGTTTCAGTCAAGGCACAATCAGGGAAAGAAAGTGTTGCAATTAAGTGAATTCAGATCAAAGATTTGGTTAAGATGGTAAAGAAGGAGCTGAGGACCAGTCAGAACACAGTAAAGGAACATACATATTAGGAACTGCAGGAAACCATCTAGCACTCCTAGACTGGAGAGAGAAAGGAAAATTGTGGTGTCACTTGAAGTAGCACCAGTCCCTGAACAGAAGCTGGAGATGGAGACATGGAGGACATGTAGTCACTTTAAGAATACCCTTCAAAAAATCAATGAATCCAGCAGCTGGTTTTTTGAAAAGATCAACAAAATTGATAGACCACTAGGAAGACTAATAAAGAAGAAAAGAGAGAAGAATCAAATAGACACAATAAAAAATGATAAAGGGGATATCACCACCAATCCCACAAATATACAAACTACCGTCAGAGAATACTATAAAAACCTCTATGCAAATAAACCAGAAAACCTAGAAGAAATGGACAAATTCTTCAACACATACACCCTCCCAAGACTAAACCAGGAAGAAGTTGAATCTCTGAATAGACCAATAACAGGCTCTGAAATTGAGGCCATAATTAATAGCTTACCAAGAAAAAAAGTCCAGGACCAGATGGATTCACAGCCAAATTCTACCAGAGGTACAAGTAGGAGCTGGTACGATTCCTTCTGAAACTATTCCAATCAATAGAAAAGGAGGGATTCCTCCCTAACTCATTTTATGAGGCCAGCATCATCCTGATACCAAAGCCTAGCAGAGACACAACAAAGAAAGAGAATTTTAGACCAATATCCCTGATGAACATCAATGCAAAAATCCTCAATAAAATACTGGTAAACCAAATCCAGCAGCACATCAAAAAGCTTATCCACCATGATCAAGTGGGCTTCATCCCTGGGATGCAAGGCTGGTTCAACATACGCAAATCAATAAACATAATCCAGGATATAAACAGAACCAACGACAAAAACCATACGATTATCTCAATAGATGCAGAAAAGGCCTTTGACAAAATTCAACGACCCTTCATGCTAAAAACTCTCAATAAATTAGGTATTGATGGGACGTATCTCAAAATAATAAGAGCTATCTATGACAAACCCACAGCCAATATCATACCGAATGAGCAAAAACTGGAGGCATTCCCTTTGAAAACTGGCACAAGACAGGGATGCCCTCTCTAACCACTCCTATTCAACGTAGTGTTGGAAGTTCTGGCCAGGGCAATCAGACAGGAGAAGGAAATAAAGGGTATTCAGTTAGGAAAAGAGGAAATCAAAATGTTCTTGTTTGCAGATGACATGACTGTATATCTAGAAAACCCCATCGTCTCAGCCCAAAATCTCCTCAAGCTGATAGGCAACTTCAGCAAAGTCTCAGGATACAAAATCAATGTGCAAAAATCACAAGCATTCTTATACACCAGTAACAGACACACAAAGAGCCAAATCATGAGTGAACTCCCATTCACAATTGTTTCAAAGAGAATAAAATACCTGGGAATCCAACTTACAAGGGACGTGAAGGACCTCTTCAAGGAGAACTATAAACCACTGCTCAATGAAATAAAAGAGGATACAAACAAATGGAAGAACATTCCATGCTCATGGGTAGGAAAAATCAATATCGTGAAAATGGCCATACTGCCCAAGGTAATTTATAGATTCAATGCCATCCCCATCAAGTTAACAATGACTTTCTTCACAGAATTGGAAAAAACTACTTTAAAGTTCATATGGAAACAAAAATGAGCCCGCATTGCCAAGTCAATCCTAAGCCAAAAGAACAAAGCTGGAGGCATCACGCTACCTGACTTCAAACTATACTACAAGGGTACAGTAACCAAAACAGCATGGTACTGGTACCAAAACAGAGATATAGACCAATGGAACAGAACAGAGCCCTCAGAAATAAGGCCGCATATCTACAACCATCTGATCTTTGACAAACCTGACAAAAACAAGAAATGGGGAAATGATTCCCTATTTAATAAATGGTGCTGGGAAAACTGGCTAGCCATATGTAGAAAGCTGAAACTGGATCCGTTCCTTACACCTTATACAAAAATTAATTCACGTGGATTAAAGACTTAAATGTTAGACCTAAAACCATAAAAACCCTAGAAGAAAACCTGGGCAATACCATTCAGGACATAGGCATGGGCAAGGACTTCATGTCTAAAACACCAAAAGCAATGACAACAAAAGCCAAAATTGACAAATGGGATCTAATTAAACTAAAGAGCTTCTGCCCAGCAAAAGAAACCACCATCAGAATGAACAGGCAACCTACAGAATGGGAGAAAGTTTTTGCAATCTACTCATCTGACAAAGGGCTAATATCCAGAACCTACAATGAACTCCAACAAATTTACAACAAAAAAACAAACAACCCCATCAAAAAGTGGGCAAAGGATATGAACAGACACTTCTCAAAAAGAAGACATTTATGCAGCCAAAAGACACATGAAAAAATGCTCATCATCACTGGCCATCAGAGAAATGCAAATCAAAACCACAATGAGATACCATCTCACACCAGTTAGAATGGCGATCATTAAAAAGTCAGGAAACAACAGGTGCTGGAGAGGATGTGGAGAAATAGGAACATTTTTACACTGTTGGTGCTGTGTCCAGAATTGGTGGGTTCTTGGTCTCACTGACTTCAAGAATGAAGCCACGGAACCTCGCGGTGAGTGTTACAGTTCTTAAAGGTGGCATGTCTGGAGTTTGTTCCCTCTGATGTTCGGACGTATTCGGAATTTCTTCCTTCTGGTGGGTTTGTGGTCTTGCTGGCTCAGGAGTGAAGCTGCAGACCTTTGCGGTGAGTGTTACAGCTCATAAAGGCAGTGTGGACCCAAAGAGTGAGCAGCAGCAAGATTTATTGCAAAGAGTGAAAGAACAAAGCTTCCACAGTGTGGAAGGGGACCCGAGTGGGTTGCCACTGCTGGCTCTGGCAGACTGCTTTTATTCTCTTATCTGGCCCCACCCACATCCTGCTGATTGGTCCATTTTACAGAGAGCCGACTGCTCCATTTTACAGAGAGCTGATTGGTCCGTTTTGACAGGGTGCTGACTGGTGCGTTTGCAATCCCTGAGCTAGACACAAAAGTTATCCACCTCCCCACTAGATTAGGTAGATACAGAGTGTTGACGCAAAGGTTCTCCAAGTACCCACCAGAGTAGCTAGATACAGAGTGTCGATTGGTGCATTCACAAACCCTGAGCTAGACACAGGTTGCTGATTGGTGTGTTTACAAACCTTGAGCTAGATACAGAGTGCCAATTGGTGTATTTACAATCCCTTAGCTAGACATAAAGGTTCTCCAAGTTGCCACCAAACTCAGGAGCCCAGCTGGCTTCACCCAGTGGATCCCATACTGGGGCTGCAGGTGGAGTTGCCTACCAGTCCTGCACCATGCACCCTCACTCCTCAGCCCTTGGGTGGTCGATGGGACTGGGCGCTGTGGAGCAGGGGGCGGCGTTGGTCGGGGCGGCTCGGGCTGCGCAGGAGCCCATGGCAGTGGGGAGGCTCAGGCATGGCGGGCTACAGGTCCCAAGCCCTGCCCTGCAAGGAGGCAGCTAAGGCCCGGCAAGAAGTCCAGCACAGCAGCTGCTGGCCCAGGTGCTAAGCCCCTCACTGCCCAGTGCCAGCAGGGCTGGCCGGCAGCTCCAAGTGCGGGACCAGCCAAGCCCATGCCCACCCAGAACTCGTGCTGCAGCCCTGGTTCCCGCCTGCGCCTGTCCCTCCACACCTCCCTGGAAGCTGATAGAGCCGGCTCCAGCCTCGGCCAGCCCAGGAAGGGGCTCCCACCATGCAGCAGAGGGCTGAAGGGCTCCTCAAGTGCTGCCAAAGTGGGAGCCAAGGCAGAGGAGGCACCAAGAGCAAGCGAGGGCTGCGAGGGCTGTCAGCACGCTGTCACCTCTCAGTGGGACTGTAAACTAGTTCAACCATTGTGGAAGTCAGTGTGGCGATTCCTCAGGGATCTAGAACTAGAATTACCATTTGACCCAGCAATTACATTACTGGGTATATACCCAAAGGATTATAAATCATGCTGCTATAAAGACACATGAAAACGTATGTTTATTGCGGCACTATTCACAGTAGCAAAGACTTAGAACCAACCCAAATGTCCAACAATGGTAGACTGGATTAAGAAAATGTGACACATATACACCATGGAATGCTATTCAGTCATAAAAAAGGATGAGTTCATGTGCTTCGTGGGGACATGGATGAAGCAGGAAACCATCATTCTCAGCAAACAATCACAAGGACAAAAAACCAAACACCGCATGTTCTCACTCATAGGTGGGAATTGAACAATGAGAACACATGGACACAGGAAGGGGAACATCACACACTGGGGCCTGTTGTGGGGTGTGGGGAGGGGGGAGGAGTAGCATTAGGAGATATACCTAATGTTAAATGACGAGTTAATGGGTGCAGCACACCAACATGGCACATGTATACATATGTAACAAACCTGCACGTTGTGCACATGTACCCTAAAACTTAAAGTATAATAAAAAAAAAAGAAAGAATAGCTGCTAAGGCAGAGTAAGAGGAGAAACATCTGAGCTCCTTCCTCCCAACTGTTGCCCATCTCTAGAGGCTGACTCAGCTGGAATTCAGGTAATGTGGGATCCAAGGAACAGCGTCTACAGTGCTCAGCCTTCTTAATATATGATCATTACTCTACAAGCTATGGCATGTTTGATTTGAGAAGCACTCAAATCACCTTATTCATTTTATCAAATTCGGTTCTTTCTTCTGACTAAGTACTAGGTACTCAATAGCTACAAAAACTATCCTCCAAAGGCAGAAACAGCATCTTACACTTAGTTATTGGGGATAACCATGATAATATTCCCTCAAAGCAGATTCTCACACACAGATACTCATCCACTCAGTACGTAAAACCTGACCTTCACTCTGCCTCACCGTATCATAAGCAAAGGATCTCAAGTGAAGAAACAAAAACTGACATGTTCCTGGAAGATGCCAATGGTACTGCTATAATTATTTGTCAAAGAATGCAACTAATATTTTTAGAATTTGTCCATGTCATGATTCTCAATTTTTTAGTTGATTTTTGTGTCACGTTTCTTTTTCTATCACAATTTTAATAATAAGCAGCCCTTCCAACCACCTCCACAGGAGGAAGATTAACTGTGAGATGGTTAAGGAAAGGCAATGCTAATCAATGATGTGGCCAATTCTTTCTGCAACAGTTATACACATTGTTATATTCCGGGATAAACTTCTCCTGCCCACTCATAAATTTTTATTTCCTTCTCCTCTGGTTTTATGGTTAAATTAATGAAAAATAAAACTTTTCAGAAGGTAGCTGACTCTTCATGTGATTTCAAACTTACCAACAGGAAATATCCAATATACACTCCTTACGCCTTCCTACAGCACATGAAATCTTTTTTTTTTTTTTTTTTATACTTTAAGTTTTACGGTACATGTGCAAAACGTGCAGGTTTGTTACATATGTATACATGTGCCATGTTGGTGTGCTGCACCCATTAACTCGTCATTTAACATTAGGTATATCTCCTAATGCTATCCCTCCCTCCTCCCCCTACCCCACAACAGGCCCTGGTGTGTGATGTTCCCCTTCCTGTGTCCATGTATTCTCATTGTTCAGTTCCCACCTATGAGGGAGAACATGCGGTGTTTGGTTTTTTGTCCTTGCGATAGTTTGCTGAGAATGATGGTTTCCCGCTTCATCCATGTCCCCACGAAGCACATGAAATCATCCTTTTTTATGGCTGCATAGTATTCCATGGTGTATATGTGCCACATTTTCTTAATCGAGTCTATCATTGTTAGACATTTGGGTTGGTTCCAAGTCTTTGCTATTGTGAATAGTGGCGCAATAAACATACATGTGCATGTGTCTTTATAGCAGCATGATTTATAATCCTTTGGGTATATACCCAGTAATGGGATTGCTGGGTCAAATGGTATTTCTACTTCTAGATCCCTGAGGAATCGCCACTCTGACTTCCATAATGGTTGAACTTGTTTACAGACCCACCAACAGTGTAAAAGTGTTCCTATTTCTCCACATCCTCTCCAGCACCTGTTGTTTCCTGACTTTTTAATGATCGCCATTCTAACTGATATGAGATGGTATCTCATTGTGGTTTTGATATGCATTTAGCTATCGATGACAAATCCACAGCCAATATCATACTGAATGAGCAAAAACTGGAAGCATTCCCTTTCAAAACTGGCACAAGACAGATGCCCTCTCTCACCACTCTTATTCAACATAATGTTGGAAGTTCTGGCTAGGGCAATCAGGCAGGAGAAGGAAATAAAGGGTATTCAATTAGGAAAAGAGGAAGTCAAATTGTCCCTGTTTTCAGATGACATGATTGTATATCTAGAAAACCCCATCGTCTCAGCCCAAAATCTCCTTAAGCTGATAGGCAACTTCAGCAAAGTCTCAGGATACAAAATCAATGTGCAAAAATCACAAGCATTCTTATACACCAATAACAGACAAACAGAGAGCCAAATCATGAGTGAACTCCCATTCACAATTGCTTCAAAGAGAATAAAATACCTAGGAATCCAACTTACAAGGGACGTGAAGGATCTCTTCAAGGAGAAATCTTTGTTTTTAATATTGCTTTTAATTCTAATAGTAATTACTTGAACTGGCCAGAAACAGAAATTCCTCAAGTGCTTAGCAGAAAAGCCTAGCTATAGTAGCTTCACACTTTTTCTATTTTTAGGCAATTACAAATATATTTTGAATTTGGAAAATAACATATAATTTAAATGATATACACACGCATATATACACACACATATATACACATATATGTATATACATATATGTGTATATACATATATACACACATATATACATATATACACACATATATATATATACATATATATATGCAGTAACTTCCTAATAAGTTTATTTAAATTTATCTGATTTTAGGTGAATAAAAAATAAAGGTTTGGAGAGTACCTTTTTAAATGTCAGAGGAATCCAACAACCAATTGTACAAGTGAGGGGCAGAAGGAGTCTTTGATTTGAGGATACCTAGTAGCTGTTGTTGCACATCTGATCACTTTGCCTATTCTTCTTACTACCTGGGTGTCAAATCAATTCAGAAAAATAATCTGGAAACTGTAAACCAAAAATAAAATTCTAAGCACCCCCAATCAACTGAAGAGACCCCTCATCTCAGCCAAGTGCATTCTTTTTTTTTTTTTTTTTTGAGATGGAGTCCTGCTGTGTTGCCCAGGCTAGAGTGCAGTGGTGCAATCTTGACTCACTGCAACCTCTGCCTCCTGGGTTCAAGCTATTCTCCTGACTCAGCCTCCTGAGTACCAAGGACCACAAGCACCCGCCACCATGCCCAGCTGATTTTTGTATTTTTAGTAGAGACAGGGTTTCGCTAAAACTAGTGAAAAGCATTTTCCTTTATAGAAAAAATTTTCACACACTAACTTCCACAGTGGTTGAACTAGTTTACAGTCCCACCAACAGTGTAAAAGTGTTCCTATTTCTCCACATCCTCTCCAGCACCTGTTGTTTCCTGACTTTTTAATGATCGCCATTCTAACTGATATGAGATGGTATCTCATTGTGGTTTTGATATGCATTTAGCTATCGATGACAAATCCACAGCGATATTGGGCAGGCTGGTCTCAAACTCCTGACTTCACGTGATTCACCCACCTTGGCCTCCCAAAGCACTGAGATTACAGGCATGAGCCACTGCACATGGCCATCAGCCAAGTGCATTCTAAAGTAAACCAGAAACCCTAGTTCAGGCCATGATAGGAATAGGTGGTCAGACATGCCTCATTATACCTCCCTCCTGTTGGATTAATTTGGGCACAGCTGGCCAGCATTAACACTAAAACAGAAACCTTAAGACGGACAGAACAGACTCTTTGTAGCAATAAGATACCTACATGACAGCAGGTTCTGAAAGAAATTGAAGTATTAATATTTTACTCCCAAACATATTTATTTGACATATTTTGAAATGGCCCCGCAAAGCTGTCTCTTGTCGGGGAAAATCTACATTCTGTAGAGAATCCTTTTCCCTTTCCAGGTGTTTTTACTGATCCGGAGTGAATTAACAAAGAGTCTGGCACCTGTTAAAGTTTGACAAGAAACATTTACAATGTCTTCTCTCCGAAGCCTGCTACCTGGAGCCTTCATCTGCATAATAAGAACCCGGGTCTCTAAAACCCCTGATCTTAACCCAGACAGTCCCTTCTGTTGATTCCTGATCTTTAGATGCACTCTTTCAACTAATTGCCAATTAGAAAATCTTTGAATTTGGCCTGGCAAGGTGGCTCACACCTGTAGTCCCAGGACTTTGGGAGGCCGAAGCTGACAGATCATGAGGTCAGGAGTTTGAGGCCAGCCTGGCCAACATGGTGAACCCCCCCCACCATCTCTACTAAACATAAAAAAATTAGCCAGGCATGGTGGCGCATGCCTGTAATCCCAGCTACTTGGGAGGCTGAGACAGGAACATCACTTGAACTGGGGAGGCAGAGGTTGCTGTGAGCAGAGATCACGCCATTGCACTCCAGCCTGGGCAACAAGTGAGACTCCATTCCCCCCCGCCCCCTCCCCCCCAAAAAAAGAAAAAGAAAATCTTTGAATTCAGCTATGACCCAGAAGTTCCCTCCCTACCCACTTCAAGTTGTCCCGACTTTCTGTACAGATTCAATCAATGTACATCTTGCATGTATTGATTGATGTCTTATGTCTCCCTAAAATGTATAAAACCAAGCTGTAGCCCAACCACCTTGGGCACATGTTCTCAGGATCTCACGGAGCTGTGTCATGGGGCCAAGGTCACTTGTATTTTGCTCAGAATAAATCTCCAAATATTTTACAGAGTTTGACTCTTTTTGTCAACAAAATGTAAAGCATTAAAAGAAATTAGCCAGCAATATACTTAATTATCATGAGCATAGTAAGCGATTTTAGTTTTCCTTTCATCACTTATTAATATCTTACATCAAATTTATTTTTACACTGACAGGATTATATCCCTTCTTTAAAGCTTTCTATTTATAGTATGCAATGTAATATGGAGGTTACTACCTACTTCAAGCATAGAAGGCCCATCCTTTATACTCCACAGGCTTGTAGCACATTTATATCTGAGAATTACTAGTGAAAAGCTTCCTTTAACAGTTTTAGAAATGAAAATCAAGAACATCTGTGACTTTTGTTTGACCCCCCCCCCCCCATAGGCAGTTACAAGGCAAATGTGCATACTCCTCTAGCAATCACTATAGCAACAAGCAAGTAATTGCTTTAAATAGCATAAGGTGCCTTTGCTGAAATCATTTCAAGTATCCTGAGTTAACTCTGTGTCAACAAAGCACTCATAGGTCTTGGATTCTTTAATGGGGGTTCTTTTAAAAAAGAAAATTACAGCTTTGTAATTGGTCATTTAAAATTTCAGAAAAATGTAGATACACCAAAGAAAATGTATTCTCCAACTATGAAGAAATAATTGGCAAAATAGTATCATTTTCATATTCCTAATAATTTTTCCTATACATATACTGTATGTGTTTATTTATATTTCTTATTTCTTACTATAAGACTTTAAGCCAGTGCTTGTGTTACCTGTTTTCATTGCCTTCTTACAATTATCTTATACAGATATATTATAAAATAAACTCACTTTTAAAATATTTTCTGTGATAAGATTATGAAATGGCATCCAAAGGGAATCACACACAGGATTTTTTATTTTATTTCTGAAAAATATTTGTAGGTTCAATTTAATTATCATATATTGAAAGGTGCTTAGTGCTTTTTTGCATCAGACAAGGTGAAAAATTCAACTTTCAAATGGCTATAGTCCCTGGCTTCTTATTTTCATCTTAGCAAAATAAAACAACACCCTACTTATGAATTGAAATTGTAATGCCATTCCATTTTCTGCTATACCATAGAAATAACTCTAAATACTAAAATGTATAAAGTGGAAAATGCTGATAGTATTCCAATTTGTTTCATTTTCAATTTGAAGAAAAAGGATATGTGTCTCCTGGGGTGAAGAAATGAGTCAATTAGGTATAGAAGAAGGGGCATGACTATATCAAGCTTACACTAAAAATGCTGAATAACAATGACAAATTAGATAATTATTAATAAGTAGATAATTCCAACCCTAAAAAACAAAAGACCTTGCATGGTTAATATACAAATGACTTTTAGAAACATAAACATAAATGGAAGCCAAGGAAACAATCAACTGAGTGAAGAAACAACTTGTGGAATAGGAAAAAATATTTGCAAATCATATTTTCAATAAGGGATTGTTATTGAAAATGCATAAGAAACTTGAATAATTTAACAATAAGGAAACAAATGACCCAATCAAAAAATGGGAAAGATCTGAATAGACATTTCTCAAAAGAAGACATACAAATGGACAATATATGAAAAAATGTTTAATGCCACTATTCTTCAGAAAAATGAAAATTAAAACCACTCCTCAGCTCCTCACAGCTGTTAGAATGGCTACTATCAAAAAGACAAAAAGTAGCAAGTGTTGGAGAGAATGTGGAGAACAGGGAATCCTTGGACATTATTAATGAGAATGTAAACAATTATAGGCATTATAAAAATATGGAAATTCCTCAAAAAATTAAAAATAGCACTACCATATGCTCCAGCAATCCCTCTACAAAGTATATATCCAAAGGAAAGGAAATCAGTACGTCAAAAAGATATACTTCCTTTCATGTTTACTGCAACACTACTCACAATAGACAAGATATGGAATCAACCTAGGTGTCCATTAACAGATGAATGGATAAACAGTCATATAAATATGTATATCTAGTATAAACACACACCACTTATAAAGAAGGGAAATCCTATTATTTCCTACAACATGGATGAACCTGGAGGACACTATGTTAAGTGAAATTAGGCACAGAAAGACAGATATCACACAGTTTTACTTATATTTTGAATCTTTGAAGGGGTAGAGAGGAGAAAGGTGGTTATCAGGGAATTAATGGGGGGGTAGAGAAGTGAGGAGATGTTGGACAAAGGATACCAAATTTAATTCATGTAGAAGAAATAAAGATACCTAATGTATGACACAGCGACTATAGTTAATGCATTGTATTCTTGAAAATTGCTAAGAGAGATTATTTTGAGTGTTATTACCACAAAAAATGTGAGGTAATGCATGTGTTAATTATCTTGACTAAGCCATTCCACAATGTAGAAATATTTCAAACTACATCATGTTGTACACAACAAAAATAAACAATTTGTAATATAAAAAATAAATTTAAAAAATATATGTACAAAAAGGAAATACAGATGGCAAATATGCATGTGAAAAGATAGTCAAAGTTATTATAATAATGAAAATGATCAAATCAGGGTAATTGGGATATGCTAGGAACATTTAAATCACACATTACATGAATGTATTAAATTATCACATGTATATTGAAAATATGTACACCTATTATATCATTTCTTCTGAAAGTGAAATCTAAAATACTGTACACACCACAAGGATAGCAAAAATTAAAACAAGAACAAAAGCAGACATTAAAAACTGCTGAAAAGTAAAATCTAAAATAATACTGAAAACACCACTAGAATAGCAAAAATTAAAAGAACAAAAACAGACAATAAAAAGTGCTGACAAGGATGTAGAGAAGCCAGAACTCTCACATAATGCTAGTGAGAATGCAATGGTACAGTCATTTTGGAAGACAATTTAAAAGTTTCTTTTGTATTCAAACATACACTTACCAACAACTGATAAATTTTACTTTTGTATTTACTCATGATAAATAAAAATATTTGTCTTCACAGAGACGTATGCATAAATGTTTATAGCAATGTTATTCAAAATTGACGAGAACTGAAACTAAATTTTTATTATGTGGAGAATAGATTAAAAATTAAGGTATATTCAGACAATAGAATATTATTTAACAATCAAAATGAATGAACTATGGGTACATGCAGCAGTAAAGATAATTCTCAGAAGCAATGTGGTAAGTGAAGGAAGCTAGACACAGAGGGTCTGTGGTGTATCGTCCCATGTACATGATATTTGAGGAGAGAAAAGCCTATCAGGATAAAAATACTATCAGTGGTTTCTGAGGGTCCAGAGTTTGAGTGGGGGTTATTGACTACACAAAGGCATGAGGGAACTTTTTCAGAAAATGGACATATTCTATATTTTGATTATATGTAAACTATACATCTATCTAAATTAATCAAATTATATATATACAAGGGTTGAATTATACTGTATAAACTTATATCTCAATAAACTTAATTTTAGAAAACTTCTCAGGAAGATAAAGGAGGAAATAATATCCATGAAACAAGAACAAGGCACTGAGGAACAAGAATAGGCAGCTGTGAAACAGAGGTGAGGGAGAAGAAATATTTGAAGTAAAATTTACAAAACCTTTTCAGAATTGGAGACATAGATCTTCATATTGGCCTGTTATCACTGAAAACCAAGGACAATTAAAACTAAATAGATAAAAAGAATCACTGTAGTAAAATAGCAGAACCTGAAGAATAAAAATACATTTTTCAATATGACTGTTAACAAAGAGAGGTAATATTGACAATTTTACATTAATGTTACTTAGAAAAGGAATATTTTCTAAGTTAAGAGAAAAAGTAACTACAATATGCAATTATTTGTTCCACTAAGCTGACAATAAGTAGAAAAATAACAATACCTTTTTAAGTACATAAAACAATTTTACTATCAAATGGATTTTTCTAAAACAACTCCTAAAGAATTCAGTTTGCCTAGAAGAGAAATACAAATAGAAGTAGTGAAGTTGATACCAGAAGCAAGATTTGGAAAACACACACAGATACACACACACACATACACACACACACACACACACACACACACACACACATTTTATTAAATAAATGAATATCAAGATCTCAGGATGAGTTTAGGAAAGCTTGGAAAATTTGTGATTACAAGTTTGGTGACTGGGCATATTTGTATATTTTTAAACTCCATTCAAGATTTATTTGGTTCTTTTCAATGTTAAAATATATGAAAACTACTTCATTCTCCAAAACATGTTATTTTTGATATTCTAAGAGAAAATTACTGAATTGTCAATCTTATTTCCCAAGTAAGATTCTTTTTTCTTTTCTTTAAAGTAATGGTGTTGGTTATTTTCAATTACAATAATGTTGTATGGTCTAGTCATTCTAGAAATATATTTTTAAAAAGGTTAAAAACAGAGCAAATTATAATCACCTTCATAAAATAAACCACAGTGATATATGGACAAATATAAAAATGTATTAACTATTAACTTTATTACTAAAAGTTTAACGGTAAATTATATAAATTTGACATTATAGGAAAGAAGCAGTAATTTATTATAGGGGTCAGCAAACAATGGCCTATGGGCTAAATCTAGCCTGCTTCCAATCTCGGTCAATAAAGTTTTGTCAGAACACAATCAGATTCATTTATTTTTGTATTGTCCATGGCTGCTTTCATACTACAATGTATGTCAGAACTGAGTAGTTTCAACAGAAACATTCTGGTTTGCAAATCCTAAAACATTTACTATCTGTTCTTTTACAGACCTGTCAGCCTCTGCACTGCTCATATAGGCACCATAGGAACATTTGTGATACTACAGACACTTTCAACTAACTTAAAAAGAGAAAGGTGCCCTTTCTTTTTAGTAGTATAGGATAAAAGGAAAGAATTCTCTTTAACTTTTGAACTGGCAATGATAGAATTTAAGAGATGCAACCCTGAAAACTAAAATTGTACATTGGTTGAATAAAATATTTTCTAAATATGTATTTTTATACTTCAATTTAAGATTGTTGCTCTGACTAAATATTTTTATAATATTTTAATCATGAGCATTCTGCTTTACAAAACCATTTCTTAAAAATACTCTTATACTTTTGCTGTAGAGTAATTTTCAGTCAGGGGAAATTTGGCAACATCTGTAGACATTGTTCATTGGCATAATTCTAGTGGAGGAAGAAAAACATGCTACTGGCATCTAGAGCAAAAGGTCAGTTGCTCTGCTAAACATTACAATGCATAGGACGGACCACACAACCAAGAACTCTTCACCCCAAAATGTCAATAGTTCTGAGGTTGATAAATTTTCCTATAGAGATATGGTAAAACAAAAGAAAGCAAAGTAAAGCAGAACAGAACAACAACAACAAAAAAAACACAAACTAATTAGATTTCAAGATAAAAAAGATTATTTCAGAATTCCCATCTCCAGGCCAGCTTTTATTGTGTATACACCAATTGCAGCATCTTTCTGAAGAAAAATAAGGAGGCTCTTTACAGCAGACATCATGTAATAAACAGTATACACTCACAAGGATCATAAGTTTGGGAACTTTTTAGGAAGTTCCTAAAAATAATTTCCCTGCAAGGAAAATTTGCTGTTAGTATGTTGATATTGTTTTCTGTAGAATTCAGTGTTAAGGTGTCACTTTTTCAAGGACTCTTTTTTTAACATGGCCTTGTTGCTATTTCATCTTTTTTGAAACCACTCTATGATCACATGACAAGGCAGTTTCAAAGTTTTTGCATGTTAATGCAGTGTGTCTTTGACTAAGGAAGAAAGATAAGAGTGTCCCACAATATAACTTGTTAACTAATAGTTACATGCAGTTTTTAAATATTTTTGTTTGTTTGATCTTACAATTTCCAGTACCAAAAATTTTCACAAAAATTAGAATTATGACATGGTCTAATCTCCCTAATTCTGTTCATGTTATTCCTCAATTTTTGCAAACCTTTTCTCTAAAAAATAAATGTAATAACATTTCTTCCTAAAGTCATTATTATTTATCTACCTTAACATTTGTAATGACCATAAACTATTTAACATTTTCTTTTCTTTCCTTCTTTGTATGTGTGTGTGTGTGCATGTGTGTGTGTGTGTGTGTGTGTGTGTGTGTGTGCTTTTAGAGACCTAGTCTTGCTCTGTTGCCCAGGCTGGAGTGCAGTGGAAGGATCATAGCTCACTGCAGTTTTGAAGTCCTCGTCTCAAGGGATCCTTCCACTTTAACATGTCATAACACTTCTTGATTAGCATTAAGTACTGCAGCATTTCTTGTTGCAATGTCAATTATTTATTCATATGTTAAAGAGCTGATAAAAATCAATACAAAGTTACATTTTTTTGTGGCGATTGTTGATATATATTCATTAAACAAATTCATATATTTCCCTAAAGTTTTCCTATATGATGTATGTTTGAACAGGATTTTGCAACTATCATTAAAAAGAATGCAGTATTTCAACAGTAATATTGATTCTTTGTTAAAAATTTAGACACAATTGTATTACATAAAGATTAAACAACTTAGAATTTTTGAAAATGCATACACATTTTATATACTACTCTTTTTTAAAAAAAAATTTTCATTCCATTCCAGGGGTACATGTGCAGGTTTGTTATATAGGTAAACTCGTGTCACAGGGGTTTGTTGTACAGATTATTTCATCACCCAGATATTAAGCCTAGTACCCAAGAGTTATTTTTTTCTGCTCCCCTTCCTCCTTGTACCCTCTACCCTCAGGTGGGACCCAGTGTGTGTTGTTCTCCTCTTTGAGTCCACGTGTTCTCGTCATCTAGCTCCCACTTATAAGTGAGAACATTCACGTACCACTCATAATCTATCCTTTTACTTCAAGAAAAATTATGAAAAGTTAGCATAAAATTTGTGTACATCATTGTTCTTGTATTTCTGTATCTTATTCCATTATTTTCATTTGGCAAGATATTTTTCATCATTTTTATAGTTCATACCAAAATATACTAATTTTTTACATATATGTTAAATTATATTTTCCTAGTTTTACTTTATGTTAAATTTAACTTTATGACTAATCCTTATGATGTGTAGAAATTTATTTTTTATGGTCAATTGTAGAAATCTTAGGCTTTATAATTTTTACTTGTGCATACAAAAATTTTCTTCTCTGTCAAGATTATATATATTGGCCTTATTTTCTTTTGCATCTATTATAGATAATCTGAATTAATTTTCACAATAATTATAAGTTAGGTGTTTTTCTTAAAGAAAACACTGGCTTTAAAGAAAAGTTCCATTATGTATGAATTCAAATGATTTTCTCAAATATACACTTTCAATTCGCTTATTCTCTCAATTTCCCATGGAAACAGCAAGGTTCATAAAATATAGAAAACCATCTCACTATTATGCCTAATTCATCAGACTTCAAAAACATACCTGAAGGTCAGCGCTCTGAAATACATAGGTAGGTACACAGTGTCCTACATAATTTCATGAAATGCCTCATTGTATTTACCGATAATAAAAATTTTCCTCAAAAAAATTTAAAAAATAAAGTTTGTTATATAAAAATAGGTGCAGTGAGGGGAGTGTCTGATTTCTCCAAACTTTGTCTAAACTAGAGATAAGAGAGTATTTGTACTAATGAGATAAGTGCAGACGATAAAGAATAGCATAGTCTGAGACGTATAAGAAATAACAAAACCTGGCAGAGACACAGCAAAAAAAGAAAACTTCAGGCCAGTATTTTTGATGCACATTGATGCAAGTATCCTTAAAAAATACTTGAAAACCAAATCTAGCAGCACATCAAAAAGTTAATTCAACATGATCAAGCAGGCTTCATCCCTGGGATGCAAGGTTGGTTCAACATACACAAATCAATAAATGTGATTCATCACGTAAACAGAACTAAAGACAAAAACCACACGATTATCTTAACAGATGCAGAAATCCAACATCCCTAAATGTTAAAAACTTTCAATAAATCAGGTATTGAAGGAATATACTTCAAAATAGTAAGAGTCATCTATGACAAACCCACAGCCAACATTATATATACTGAATGGGCAAAAGCTGGAAACATTCCCCTTGAAAGCCAGCACAAAAATGCCCTCTCTTACCACTTCTATTCAACATAGTATTGAAAGTCCTAGCCAGAAAAATAAGGCAAGAGAAAGAAATAAAGGGAATCCAAATAGTAAAAGAGAAAGTCAAACTATCTCTGTTTGCAGACAACATGATTCTATATCTAGAAAACCCCATAGTCTCCACCCAAAAGCTCATTGAACTGATAAGCAACTTCAGAAAAGTTTCAGGATACAAAATCGATGTACAAAAGTCATTAGCATTCCTGTACACCAACAACAGACAAACCAAGAACCATATCAGATAGGCAATCCCATTCACAGTTGGCACAAAAGGAATAAAATACCTGGGAATACAGCAAACCAGGGAGATGAAAGATCTCTGTTTACAATGAGAATTACAAAAGGCTGTTCAAATAAATCTGAGAAGACACAAATGGAAAAACCTCCCATGCTCATGGATAGTAAGAATCAATATCATTAAAATGGTTATACTACCCAAAGCAATTTACAGATGTAATACTATGACTATCAAACTACCAATGGCATTCTTCCCAAAACTATTAAATTGGCTATAGTACCCAAAGCAATTTACAGATTTAATACTATGACTATCAAACTACCAATGGCATTTTTTCACAAAACTATTATAAAATTCACATGGAACCAAAAAAAAAAAAAAAAAAAGAGCTCCAATCCTAAGCAAAAAGAACAAAACTGGAAGCATTCTATTACCTGACTTTATACTACAAGGCAACAGTAACCAAAACAGCATGGTACTAGTGCAAAAACAGGCACATAGACCAATGGAAACACATTCTTATTTGTTCTTTTATTCAAAACAATATTAATTGAATGACTTCAAAGTATCAGGCCTTCTTAGAGACTACATTTATTAGCAGAATTCTATTCATCATCAGGATTTTTTTTTTTAGGATTAAGCTCTTCTTCACTTTTGACATTTATCATTATCTTATTCTTTTCCTTATTAATTCTGGAATTTCTAAAATATATTATTAGTCAAATCTGATGTTTCCTAGAAGTCTACAAAAATATTTTTAATGGCCAATATTTTGTTCAATCTACTTAGTAAAAATGTTCATATCTTTAATTCAGTGGAAAGTACATTTTTAAATAGAAGCTTAGAGGAAAAATAATAGACTGAGTCTACAGATTATAGAACCTAAAGTTTAAAAGTATTCAAGAATATGTGGAAACCCATTAACTTTTAAATATTCAATAATACTGCTATTATGGAAAAAATTTGGTTTTCTCATTTAATGATGGTTGAGTGGAATTATCCTGTATCTGGCTTAGAGTGAGGAAAGCAATTATCCCATTTTTACTGTAATTTTTCCTCTGCCCCTAATTTATTAGAGAGAGAAAGAGATCTGAACTGGGAAGATTTAAGATTTTTCATCTGAAAAAAATAGAAGATTGTTATAGATGAATTCTAAACTGTTATCTTTAATATTCTATATGTTTATGCTATGTTTAATAATTAATATCAGTATTAATAATACTGGTAACACAATTTTTAGTATATAATTCACATTCTTTCATTTAAAACAATACTTACTATGTCTTTCTTTCTGCCAGATACTTTTCTGAGTAGCTATTAACTGGATTTTCATAGATGAATGATTTTCATTTGGTTGCAGACAAATGAATTATTCTCTATAAATTGCATAACTGTCAATGGTAAAACTCAGTATTCTGACAATAAATTCATGCAATATGCAAATGCATTAATAATTGACTTAATGGTTGTGAATAATGCAAATATTTTACCTTTAAGTACATTCATTAATAGTAAAACAATAGTAAATTGGAAATAGGTATTGAAGTAGGTACTTAGTTTTAGAGATGAAATTAATAATTTATATAATCAAAATGACTAATTTGGTTGGCTAGGAAAGGTCAATGACCACCTAAGTTCTCACATTTTCTGGGTTATTACTGGAACATATTTTCTCTGGACTTAGAGCTCATTAAAGATGCATAGTCTAAAGTTCTGACATTCAATATTTTTTCTCTGATTCAGAGAACTAGTTTACAGCGTTCTTTTTATTTTTTCTTTTTTGAAGCAGATGAAAAAAGAATTCTTGGTCTTTAAAGAACATCAGAGAGCCTTTTCAAACAAACACGAGTATAATCATTAATAATTAAGCTGTATAGAGAAATCTCATGTATTCAAAATTCTGACACCAAATTTGACTTAAGAATTTAAAGGGATTCTCACAATCTTATTACTATAATTGATGCACAGAGGGTACTCATTATGTCTACTAAATCTGAACCAGATCCTGATGTCTAAAAATACTTGTCAAATTGCATGTTATATAAGCCATCATTGTAATTAACTCATTTATTCAACAAATCTTATGAAATATCGACTATACACTTTTGCTGAGCATCAAGGCTACCATACTTGGGAATAAAAAAGACATAGTCTCTTTTCTCAAGGAATTGACAGTCTAATGAAATATTCATAGACTAATCAAACAGTCACAAGTAATGTCAAATATTAACTACATAGATTATAAAATGAATGTACAAGGTATTATACATCAGAATAAAAAAAGGAATAAAATATTCTCAAAGTAAATTTAAAGCTTAGAAAACCAAAAATATCTACCAGTTTTTATTTTTAAAATTTATAATTTTCTATTTATTTCTTATAAATATTTTAAAATTATCAGAAGTATTACATTTATTATCTCAATATGGATTCAACATTTAGTTCATCCTGCTTTCAAAAAAACAAATGTCATATCTTAGCTATTGTGAATAATGTTGCAATGAGCATGGGTAAATAGCTGTTTAACACACTGATTTCATTTCTTTTGGACATATACCCACGAGTGGGATTGCTGGATCACATAGTAATGCTGTTTTTAAGTTTCTGAGGAACCTCCATACTGTTGGTCATAATGGCTGTACCAATTTACATTTCTACCAACAGTGTGCAAGGGTTTCCTTTTCTCCATATCCTCATCAACACGTATCTTTTGTCCTTTTTTTTTTTTTTTTTTTTTTTTTTTGAGACGGAGTTTCCCTCTGTCGCCAGGTTGGAGTGCAGTGGCGTGGATCTCGGCTCACTGCAACCTCTGCCTCCCGGGTTCAAGCAATTCTCCTGCCTCAGCCTCCCAAGTAGTTGGGACTACAGGTGCACACCACCACGCCCAGCTATTTTTTTATTATTATTTTTAATAGAGAAGGGGTTTCACCATGTTAGCCAGGATGGTCTCCCTCTCTTGACCTCGTGATCCGTCCACCTCCGCCTCCCAAAGTGCTGGGATTACAGGCGTGAGCCACCATGCCCAGCCTTTTTTAAATCATACTTTAGTCTGGAATATATGTGCAGAATGTACAGGTTTGTTACATAGGTATACATGTGCTGGAAACCATCATTCTCAGCAAACTGACACAGGAACAGAAAACCAAACACCGCATGTTCTCACTCATAAGTGGGAATTGAAAAATGAGAACACATGGACACAGGGAGGGAAACATCACACACTGGGGCCTGTAGGTTGGGGTGGGGGTCGGGGGCTAGGGGAGGGATAGCATTAGGAGAAATACCTAATGTAGATGACAGATTGTCGTTTTAATAACCATTCAAACAGGTGTGTGGTGATACCTTACTTTGGTTTTGATGTATACTACCTGATTTTAGTATGTTGAACATTTTTTATACACCTGTTGCCATTTGTGTGTCTTCTTTTGAGAAATGTGTATTCAGATCCTTTGCGTAAATTTTTTTTCTGTTGATTTATTTGACTTTCTTATGTATTTTGGATGTTATCTTCTTATCAGATGTGTGGTTTGCAGTTATTTTCTCCCATTCCCTAGATTGTCTCTTTATTGAAGCCTTCCTTTTCTGTGCAGAAACGTTTTAGTTTTATGTAATCCCATTTGTCTATTTTCAGTTTCATTTCATGCAATCTCATCTATTTTTGCTTTTGTTGCTTGTGTTTTTTGATGCCATATCCGAGAAATATCACTATCCAGACCAAAGTCAGAAGTGTTTTTTTTCTGTTTATTTCTTAGTAGTTTCACAGTTTCAGATCTTACATTTAAGTCTTAAATTCATTTTGAGTTGATTTTTATACGATGTGAGGTGGTAATATCAATTTATAGATGAATGAAGAAAATGTGGTACATAATGGAATACTAGTTTTTTTAAAAAGAGAAAATACTGCCATTTTGACAACATGGATTAACTTGGAGGACATTATACAAAGTGGAATAATAGACACAGACAAAACCATATGATTTCACTTACATGTATAGTATAAAAAAATTGAACTCATAGAAACAGAAAATAGAATGGTGGTTGCCACAAGCTGGGAGGTAGGGGAAAATGGGGAGATGTTGGTCAAATGATATAAAGTTTGAGTTGTGTAGATTAAATAAGTTCAAAAGATCTAATACGTGGCATGATGGTTATAGTTGATAATACTGTATTGTATACTTGAAATTTGCTAAGAGTATATAACTTACATGTTGTTACCACAAATATGCATATAAAAGGTAACTATATACAGTGATGGATATATTAATTTGCTTAATTGTGGTAATCATTTTATTGTATATGTATATCAAAACATAACATTATATACCTTAAATAGATACAATACAATTCTTTAAAATTATACCTCAATAAAGTTGGGAAGAAAAGAAAAAGAAATCATACAAATTAAAAAAAAAAAAAACACCAAGCATTCAAAGTACAAATTAGTGCAATATATATATAACTGTGTGTGTGCAAGAAATCTGGTTTCACAAATGTAAGAGAAATCCTAAATACATGGCTTTCTATATTATTTCAAAAATTTTTATCTCTTTTCAAGCTATAGGTGGCTTTTCATTATGATATTCTATATAAGGAGGAAAGAAGACTTATGCACAATTATTCTCTGATGAGATAGTGGTTTAGTTTACCTTATCTCACTAATAAACTGTAGACAAACAAATGGAACAAAGTATACTATCTCTCTGTATTCTTTCTTGTATACAGGAAAGAAAAATTGACACCCTGGGAGCAGACATGTATTTAAAACCTGTATTTGACAGTGACTAGGTGCATGATTCTGAGAAAGTTTACAAACAGTGCCTCTGCTGGTAAAAATTGCAAAATAAATGGTAGTTACTCTTATTGTCATCATTAAAATTATCATCAGTATCATCATTGATGTTAATAATAAGCAATGTTTACTTCAGCAAATCTGGATAAAATGCAGAATTGATAAGAATGGGCACTTAATTCGCATTTCTTACTACAACAGTGCAGGGGATATGTCCTAGGCACTACACATTTATCTAATATTTAACAATGGAATATATTATTTAAATTGGCTATTTACACATATTTTATGCTTTACACCAGTCCACCTAAGGCTTGAAGTTGGTGAGAAGTATTTAATACTAGATTAAAATCATGTATTAAAAGAAAACATGTAGGGAAATTACAAAGCATTTGATCCTGTGCATGATTAAGGATAACACCAATTTGATTCTAATATATATATATTTTTAAGACAGAGTCTCACTCTATTGCCCAGGCTGGAATGTAGTGCCATGATTTTGGCTCGCTGAAACCTCCACCTCCACAGTTCACATGATTCTCCTGCCTCAGCCTCCCAAGCAGCTGGGATTACAGGTGTCCACCACCATGCCCAGCTAATGTTTTGAGTTTTTAATAGAGACAGGGTTTCACCATGTTGGCCAGGCTGGTCTTGAACTCCTGACCTCAGGTGATCCACCTGCCTCAGCATCCCAAAGTGCTGGGATTACAGGCATGAGCCACTCCACCCGGCCTTAATTCTAATCTTTCAAGATATTTTTAAAAATACACTTCAGTGTAACCCTTATTTTTTTAAGCTAGGACTAAAAGAAAAAAAAAAATTCCTACCAAAAATGCAATAACGCATTTTAGAAACCAGTATTTGTCAACATCTCTCAATACGGAGTGAGAGTATACATCAAAACAAAATTTAGTATAATACATTTTATAAAGTCAACACATGATTCAATAATAAACATCTATCTGTTAAACTGACACTCTCTAAGTGTAAATTTAATTCTCTATATTGAAAAGAATGGGTTTCTTGCCATTAATTTATCTATTTGATGACTTAATGTGTATTAAACAAATAGTTGTTGAAGACATTCTAGGTGTCAAGCATGGTATTATATATCACACACACAAATAAATATAAGAATTGTATCCTTTTGCAAGAAATTCACTGTCCAGTGAAAGGAGAGTTAAATAAGAAAATAAACATAATGCAATACTGGAAAGAATGAAGGAATCACTTGGTAGCACAATATGCTTACACCTAAGAAAAATGGAAGTAGAAGAAAAAGCTGTCTGAAGAGTGATATCTGAAAGAAGTCTCAAGTGATTTATTTGGAAAACTATTTCTAAAAACTAGAATTTAGTTAAGAATTATAAAGAAAATTATAACATATGGTAAGAATTTTGCATAAAAATGTAATTTACAAAAGCGGTATCTTAAGAGCAATAAAAAATAAATTATCTTCCTTTTCCAGCCATAATGTTATAATAGAGACCAGATTTAACCTTCTGCTCTAAACAACTAGAAAACTGACCAGTACAACTAAAACAAGGGTTTTATGTTTTGGACAACAGACTAGAAATGACAGTGAACTCTTTGATTACCCCATCATACTGTCTGGAGAAAGTCTCTGGTCTTCTGCACAGATTGTGGGAACACAAATGGAACATGGCATTCTCCATGAGTAGAGAAGATAGATTTGAGAATTCAGGAAGGCCAAAATAAATAGAATTTTCTGTGTACAGTACCAGAGAAAAGTGAGTTGCAGAGGTCTCCAGAAATCTGCAGAGGATTAGCCTTAAGTCTTCAACTGAACACTGATCATAATAATTATGTGAGGAAACTATGGGGTTTGGAAAAAACCACCAGAAAAGAACAGACCCAACAGAAAACTGATAAGAATGGAAAGCATATAGCTGAGAAATGTGAGCAGAGGAAAGTAAGACCCATGATGGACAAGAAGGCCTAGGAAACAGAGCTAGTGAAGGAAGATGAACATGAAAAAGAGACCAGAAATTAACATCTAAAGGGAGGAGAAAAATCAGTGAGCATAGTGCCAAGACCTTTCCCTAGTCAAACGTAATAGTTTAAAATACAGCTTCTCTCTCTGGGCAGCGCATCTCTGAAAGAAAGGCAGCAGCCCCAGTCAGGGACTTACAGATAAAATTCCCATCTCCCTGGGACAGAGCACTTAAGGGAAGGGGCAGCTGTGGGCAGCTTCAGCAGACTTAAATGTTCCTGCCTGCTGACTCTGAAGAGAGAAGCGGATCTCCCAGCACAGCGCTTGAGCTCTGCTAAGGGTCAGACTGCCTGCTCAAGTGGGTCCCTGACCCCAGTGACTCCTGACTGGGAGACACCTCCCAGCAGGGGTCGACAGACACCTCATACAAGAGAGCTCCAGCTGGCATCTGGCGGGTGCCTCTTTAGACGAAGCTTCCAGAGGAAGGAACAGGCAACAATCTTTGTTGTTCTGCAGCCTCCGCTGGTGATACCTAGGCGAAGAGGGTCTGGAGTGGACCTCCAGCAAACTCCAGCAGACATGCAGCAGAGGAGACTGAATGTGAGAAGGAAAACTAACAAACAGAAAGGAATAGCATCAACATCAACAAAAAGGACGCCCACACAGAAACCCCATCCAAAGGTCACCAGCATCAAAGACTAAGGGTAGACAAATCCACAAAGATGGAAAAGAAAAAAAAAAAAAAAAAACAGCAAAAAAAGGCTGAAAATCCAAAAACCAGAACTCCTGTTCTCCAAAGGATCAGAACTCCTTGCCAGGAAGGTCACAAAACTGACGGAGAATGACTTAGATGAACTGACAGAAGTAGCCTTCGGAAGGTGGGTAATAACAAATTCTTCAGAGCTAAAGGAGCATATTCTAACCCAATGAAAGGAAGCTAAGAACCTTGAAAAAAGGTTAGCGGGATTGCTAATTAGAATAACCAGTTTAGAGAAGAACATAAATGACCTAATGGAGCTGAAAAACACAGCACAAGAACTTCATGAAGCATACACAAGTACCAATAGCTGAATCAATCAAGCAGAAGAAAGGATATCACAGATTGAAGAACAACTTAATGAAATAAAGCATGAAGACAAGATTAGAGAAAAAAGAATGAAAAGGAGCCGGGCGTGGTGGCTCACGCCTGTAATCCCAGCACTTTGGGAGGCGGAGGTGGGGGGGTCACGAGGTCAGGAGATCAAGACCATCCTGGCTAACACGGTGAAACCCCGTCTCCACTAAAAATACAAGAAATTAGCCAGGCGTGGTGGTGGGAACCTGTGGTCCCAGCTACTCGTGAGGCTGAGGCAGGAGAATTGCGTGAACCCGGGAGGCGGAGCTTGCAGTGAGCAGAGATCCTGCCACTGAACTCCAGCCTGGGCGACAGAGTGAGACTCCATTTCAAAAAAAAAAGAATGAAAAGGAACAGACAAAGCCTCCAAGAAATATGGAACTATGTGGAAAGACCAAAACTTCGTTTAACTGGTGTACCTGAAAGTGAGGGGGAGAATGGAACCAAGAGAATGGAAAACACTCTTCGGGATATTATCCAGAACTTCCCCTGGCAAGACAGTCCAACATTCAAATTCAGGAAATACGGAGAACAGCACAAAGATACTCCTTGAGAAGAGTAACCCCAAGTAGAATAATCCTCAAATTTCCCAAGGATGAAATGAAGGAAAAAAATGTTAAGATCAGCCAGAGAGAAAGGTTGGGTTACCCCATAAGGGAAGCCCATCAGACTAACAATGGATGTCTCTGAAGAAACCCTACAAGCCAGAAGAGAGTGGGGGCCAATATTCAACATTCTTAAAGAAAATAATTTCAACCCAGAATTTCATATCCAGCCAAACTAAGCTTCACAAGTGAAGGAGAAATAAAATCCTTTTCAGACAAGCAAATGCTGAGAGATTTTGTCACCCCCAGGCCTGCCTTACCAGAGCTCCTGAAGGAAGCACTAAATATAGAAAGGAACAACCGTTACCAGCCACTGCAAAAACATACCAAATTGTAAAAACCATCGACACTATGAAGAAACTGCATCAACTAACAGGCAAAATAACCAGCTAGCATCATAATGACAGGATCAAATTCACACATAACAATATTAACCTTAAATGTAAATGGGCTAAATGCCTCAATTGAAAGATACAGACTGGAAAATTGGATAAAGAGTGAAGACCCATGGGTGTGCGGTATTCAGGAGAACTGTCTCACGTGTATAGGCTCAAAATAAAGAGATGGAGAAATATTTACCGAGCAAATTGAAAGCAAAAAAAAGCAGGGATTGCAATCCTAATCTCTGATAAAATAGACTTTAAACCAACAAAGATCAAAAAAGACAAATAAGGGCATTATGTCATGCTAAAGGGATCAATGCAACTAGAAGAGCTAACTATGCTAAATATATGTATACACCCAATACAGGAGCACCAGATCCATAAAGCAAGTTCTTAGAGACCTAAAAAGAGACTTAGACTCCCATACAATAATGGTGGGAGATTTTAACACCCCAATGGCAATATTAGATCAACAAGACAGAAAATTAACAAGGATATTCATGACTTGAACTCAGCTCTGGACCAAGCAGACCTAACAGACATCTACAGAACTCTCCACCCCAGATCAACAGAATATACATTCTTCTCACTCCCACATCACACTTATTCTAAAATTGACCATATAATTAGAAGTGAAACACTCCTCAGCAAGTGGAAAACAACGAATATCACAACAAACAGTCTCTCAGACCACAGTGCAATCAAATTAGAACTCAGGATTAAGAAACTCACTCAAAACCACACAACTACATGGAAACTGAACAAATTGCTCCTGAATGACACACTAGTTAAATAACAAAATTAAGGCAGAAATAAAGAAGTTATTTGAAACCAATGAGAACAAAGACACAATGTACCAGCATCTCTGGGACACTCCTTAGTGTTTAGAGGGAAATTTATACCACTAAATGGCCACAGGAGAAAGCAGAAAAGATCTAAAATCAATACCCTAACATCACAATTAAAAGAACTAGAAAGTAAGAGCAAACAAATTCAAAAACCAGCAGAAGACAAGAAATAACTAAGATCAGAGCAGAACTGAAGGAATTTGAGACACGAAAAACCTTTCAAAAAATCAATGAATCCAGGAGCTGTTGTTTTTGAAAATATTAACAAAATAGATATATCACTAGCCAGACTAATAAAGAAGAAAAAACAGAAGAATCAAATAGACACAATAAAAAATAGTAAAGGGGATATCACCACTGATCCCACAGAAATACAAACTACCATCAGAGAATGCTATAAACGTCTCTATGCAAATAAACTATAAAATCTAGAAGAAAGGGATAAATCCAGGACACATACACCCTCCCAAGACTAAACCAGGAAGAAGTCAAATCCCTGAATAGACCAATAACAAGTTCTGAAATTGAGGCAGTAATTAATAGCCTACAACGAAAAAATGCCCAGGATCAGATCGATTCACAGGTAAATTCTACCAGAGGTTCAAAGAGGAGCTGGTGCCATTCCTTCTGAAACTATTGCAAACAATAGAAAAAGAGGGACTCCTCCCTAACTCATATTATGAGGCCAGCATCATCCTGATATCAAAATCTGGCAGACACAACAACAACAACAACAAAATTTCATCAGGCCAATATCCCTGATGAACATCAATGCAAAAATCCTCAAGAAAATACCGGCAAACTGAATCCAGCAGCACATCAAAAAGCTTATCCACCCAGTTGGCTTCATCCCTGGGATGCAAGGCTGGTTCAACATATGCAAATCAAAAAACATAATCCATCACATAAACAGAACCAATAACAAAAACTGCATGATTATTTAAATAGATGAAGAAAAGACCTACGATAAAATTCAACACCACTTCATGGTAAAAACTCTCAATAAACTAGGTATTGATGGAACGTATCTCAAAATAATAAGAGCTATTTATGACAAACCCACAGCCAATATCATAGTGAATGGGCAAAAGCTGGACGCATTCCCTTTGAAAACCAGTAAAAGACAAAGATGGTCTCTCTCACCAAGTTCTGGCCAGGGCAATCAGGCAAGAGAAAGAAATAAAGGGCATTCAAATAGGGAGAGAGGAAGTCAAATTGTCTGTGTCAAATTTGCAAATCAAGTCAAATTGCAGATGACATGATTGTATATTTAGAAAACCCCATTGTCTCAGCCCAAAATCTCCTTAAGCTGATTAGCAAATTTGGCAAATACTCAGGATACAAAATCAATGTGCAAAAATCACAAGCATTCCTATACCCCAATAACAGACAGAGAGCCAAATCATGAGTGAACTCCCATTCACAATTGCTACAAAGATAATAAAATACCTAGGAATCCAACTTACAAGGTATGTGAAGGACCTCTTCAAGGAGAAGTACAAACCACTGCTCAAGGAAATAAGAGAGGATGTAAACAAATGGAAAAACATTCCATGCTCATAGACAGAAAGAATAAATATTGTGAAAATGGCCATAATGCCCAAAGTAATTTATAGATTCAATGCTGTCCCTGTAAAGCTACTGTTGACTTTCTTTACAAAATTAGAAAAAAAACTACTTTAAATTTCATATGGAACCAAAATAGAGCCTGTATAGCCAAGACAATCCTAAGAAAAATGAACAAAGATGGAGGCATCATGCTACCTGACTTCAAACTATGCTACAAGGCTACCATTACCAAAACAGCATGGGACTGGCACCAAAACAGACATACAGACCAATGGAACAGAATAGAGGCCTCAGCAATAACACCACACATCTACAACCATCTGATCTTTGACAAACCTGGCAAAAACAAGCAATGGGGAAAGGATTCCCTATTTAATAAATGGTATTGGGAAAACTGGCTAGGCATATGCAGAAAGCTGAAACTGGATCCTTTCCTTACACCTTATACAAAAATTTACTCCAAATGGATTAAAGACTTAAACGTAAGTCCTAAAGCCATAAAAACCCTAGAAGAAAACCTAGGCAATCAATACCATTCAGCACATAGGTATGGGCAAAGACTTCATGACTAAAACACCAAAAACAATGACAACAAAAGCCAAAATTTGCAAATGGGATCTAATTAAACTAAAGAGCTTCAGCACAGCAAAAGAAACTATCATCAGAGTGAACAGGTAACCTACAAAATGGGAGAAAAGTTTTCCATTCAATCCATCTGACAAAAGGCTAAAATTCAGAGTCTACAAGAAACTTAAACAAATTTACAAGAAAAAATCAATCCCGTCAAAAAGTGGGCAAAGGATATGAGCAGACACTTCTCAAAAGAAGACATTTATGCAGGCAACAAACATATGAAAAAAAAGCTCATCATCAGTGGTCATTAGAGGAATGCAAATCAAAACCACAATGAGATGCCATCTCACGCCAGTTAGAATGGCGATCATTAAAAAGTCAGGAAACAACAGATGCTGGCGAAGTTGTGGAGAAACAGGAATGCTTTTACACTGTTGGTGGGCGTGTAAATTAGTTCAATCATTGTGGAAGACAGTGTGGCAATTCCTCAAGGATCTAGAACCAGAAATACCATTTGACCCAGCAATTCCATTACTGGTTATATACTCAAAGGATTATAAATAATTCTACTATAAAGACACATACACATGTATGTTTATTGCAGGACTATTCACAATAGCAAAGACTTGAAACCAACCCAAATGCCCATCAATGATAGACTGGACAAAGAAAATGTGGCACATATATACCACGGAATACTATGCAGCCATAAAAAAGGATGAGTTCATGTCCTTTGCAGGGGCATGGATGAAGCTGGAAACCATCATTCTCAGCAAACTAACACAGGAACGGAAAATCAAACACCACATGTTCTCACTCATAAGTGGGAGTTGAACAATGGGAACACAGGGACACAGGGAGACGAACATCACACACCAGGGCCTATTGGTGGGTGGGGGCAAGGGGAGGGATATCATTAGGAGAAATACCTAATGTAGATGACAGGTTGATGGTTGCAGCAAACCACCACAGCACTTGTATACCTATGTAATAAAACTGTACGTTCTGCACCTGTATCCTAGAACTTAAACTATTACAAAAATCAATTAGTTAAAAAAATATTTTCAGTTAAGCTGTGGTTGAATACAAGAACCAACCACTTCCCCATGTAATATTGATAAGCATGGAATGCATGAATCATAGAGTCTCAGGGTAAGAAGATTTGCTCCAAAGCTACCTTGAGTCAATTAATGGGATTCAGCTGGAAACAAAGAAAAACCTCGAGGGAGAAGTACCAGTTCTAATAAAATGCTCACAGTTAAAACAAAAATAAACAAAAACTGATATATTCATTTCTTATGTTTTTAAAGTTCAACCAAACATAAAATTGGGGGCATAATTCCTGTGGGGTTAATAAAATAAGTACATTTCTTCAGCCAGTTGATGAAAAATATGTAATTTCATTTACAGCCCCTGTTGGTTTTAAAAACGAAGTGTTTTTCAAGTATACACAATGATACTTATATGCCTTCAGGTATAAATATTAAATGATCTAAAAGAACACAATTTTGCTTTATTGATTTCAGCTGTCAAAATGATAAAATACAACTTTATTTCCTTCTATTACAGAAAGCTGGTCAGGCTTTTTAGAGAGTGATAGAGGCACTAGTATCAAAAGAAGAGAGAAAGTACATAGAGAAGATAAAAATGCATCCAATGTCTAACCAAAATGGTAAACTACTTAGGGAAACTTCACCCAGAATAAGAGTGTGATTGAAAATCAAACAGAAAAGTATAGCACCTAGTCATAATCTTAAATCAAAAGAGTTATTCTTATCATCTGATGTTTCCAAATTATACACAGAATTTTATCCACATGAAAATATGGATTGAATTTTCATGTCTTGTTTCTTCAGGATTAAAATCCTTTTTAGAAAGTAAAACATGAAATTTTCAAAGAAAAGGGAAAATAAAGAGCATGTTAAAAAAAGAAGACATTATTGGAATACAAAAGTTAATGTGGTTTCTACACTTGAAGTTTCTTAGAATTGAAAACATAGAAAGGAGGGGTTAGATATTGCATAACCTCAAGTTGTTAAAGCAGGATGAGGAGTAAGGCTCTTAGGAAGGAAGAGACAGCTTCATGGCAGAAGCAAGGAGTCCAGGGAAGGTGGTAAGAACTGCCTCAGAGCATCAGCGAGCTAGTGAAACATTAAAACGTATAAATAGCAATTAATAAGATCTAGAGAAGCATTGGAAGCCCCTGGCTAAAGTATGGTCAGGTACACAGAACCACAACAGAGGCAAGAATGTGACCATGTTTAGAAATCAAATGTCAGAATATGGTAAATTAGTCAGCAGTAAGTGAAGAAGTCAAAGGTATGGTACATAGTATTAAAATTCAGGACAAGCACCAAGTTTAGGTTTCAAGTACTCTAAGCTTAAGGAACTAGACAGGTAGTAAATGAGTTGTGACAGCAGTTTATAAACTAAAGAGAGTATATGGAATTAAATTTAAAAACTGAAAATTTGGGGACAGGCTAACATTTAGGTGGCACTGTGACAGCAATTTATATAGATAAATTCATATAATCCTCAAAATGACTGCACAAAATTAGTGGTAGCCCTATATTATAGATGAGCAAACTGAGGCTATGTCATAGAACTTTTCTAAAGACAAAGAGCTAGTAAGTTATAGAATGGAAATTCTGAGATTTATTCACCTTCCAAGCTTCTGTCATATTACCAGGCACTGAAATTGAACAACTGAAGACCTTTAAAAATCTTGGAAAATGCATAAGGACTTTGAGCTAACATTTGCTTTAGTGTGGTAGCATTTACATCATCCTTGACTAGCCAGTGAAAAACCTGTAGTAAGTGATCTGAGAACAGTGAGAGTTCGCCAAAATCATGTAAGCAACATTGTGACTTGGCGATCAGTGCGTTTCCTACTTGTTCTTTGGAAGTAACTTCCACAATCCATCTTTTTGGAGAATGAGACTCATTTGTAATGAATATATGCCCAACCCCAGGTTTTTAGAACGTTAAAGAAGTGAAGTGACTTTAAAAGTCCTAAGTATTCTTCAGATGAGAAAATTGAGATTAAGACAGGTTAATATACTTAAAATTTTAAAAATAACATCTGTCCAGGGCCAGAGGGGGAAAAATACCAAACGAACATGTTGAGAGTGTCTTTGTTCACTTGTTCCCACTTAGATATTTATGGGGAAAGGTCTTTAGAAGACTGAAGAATATCAACACATCTATGGTGCTATGTATATTTATTCATGAAATTTTTGTCTGAATCACAAAAATCTTGTATTTCTTTTAAGCTTTCAAACAAAATAATTTTATTTAAAAATAGTTTCTTATTTAAGAAAATTACTAAATTATGAAGAATATAAGCAATTGTTTTTCATGATGTATCAGCCTTGTGCTTAATTTGCCATTAGGAGGAAACAATAATCTCTAAGAAAGCTAATTTAGTATTGTAGCTTTTTAAAATGGATTGGATTATATTCCCCCAGTGACATGTTAAAGTCTCAACTTCCAATAACTCAGAATGTGATGTTATTTATAAATAGAGTTATTAGAGATGTAATTAGTTAAGGTGAGATTGAGACTGAATCCATTATGACTGGTGTTCTTCTAAAAAGGTGATGTGAAGACACACGGGGAGAATACATGTAACGGGAGGCAGACATTGGAGTGATGCAGCTACAAGTCAAGAAACATCAAAGCTTGACCACCACCAAGGAAGCTAGGAGGGGGCATGGAGGGATTCTCCCCTGTAGGTTTCTGAGGAAGCATGACCCTGCTGATACTGTTTTTTAGTACAGCTAGACTCCAGAATTGTGAGACAATAAATCTCTGCTGTTTTGAGACAATCAGTTTCTGGTATTTTATTGTGGCAGACCTAGAAGACTAATATGTTACATTGTTCATCAAAATATATTCACTATTCCAGCATTGGTGTCACAATTAAGACTTAGAGTAAATATAATCAAATGTCATGTCTTCAACATCCACCATCCTCTTTAAATATTTTATTTTATAGTTCTGTATTTTCTAATCATTACCTCTGCTCTCTCTCTCAATCGTTCAAATTATATTTAAGTCTTTCCACTCCATTTTGACTTTGTTACATAAAAATGCACCCTACACACACACACTCACACACACACACAGACATATGCATAGAGTATTTCAGTTAAAAATCACTATGATCAGGGCATTCATAGCTTATGTTATTAAATATTATAGTTAAGTAGAGTTCCTCAATTCAACGTGAAGATACAAATCAATTTCCAAGAATGAGTATAGATGCACAACACTAAACATATATTTTAGAATCAACACGACTTATCAACTCTTGGCAGATGCAGAAATCAGAGGTTCTTTCTGTGCCTCAGGGTTGTAATAAGGAATGTCATTATACACTTATCAGAGTTTCGCTTTATAATAGAGCTGTTGTTAGAGACAGTTTTATAGCTGATAAAAATTTCTGATAAGCCTACTTGTAGCGTGTCTAAAAATTGGTTTGCATTATTTTCCTTTATTTGTCCTTAGAGGGTGGCTTAAGATGCTTCTCTCTGCTTCACAAAATTGATTATCAAAATAAAAATAATCCAATGCATCAGAAAATTACATTGACTCAACCTTCAAAACATATCCAGAATCTGACCATTTCTCAAGCTTTCATGCTGACAGACTAGACTGAGCCATGGCCATTTCTAGCCTGGATTAGGGCATTAGCCTCTTAACTATTCTCCCTTTGTGTATTCCTGCCCAAACCTCACACACACTGATCTGTTCTCCATAGTATAGCCAGAGTGGTCACTCAAATAATTTCACTTCTCTGCTTAAACCCCTGGAATAAGTCTTTATTTCCACTCAGAATACAAAACAAGGTCTTAAAATTGCCTAAAATTATCAGAATCTCCTCTCCCCCATTATATATGTGACTTCATCCTCCACAAGTCTCTACCTTGCTTGCCTGCTCTTCCACACTGTCGCCCCTGATGATCCCAGAAAATGTCAATACATGCCTACATTAACACAGTACTGGCTTTTTGCTCTGTGGGCTTTTCTTCTCCCCTATAGCTACACAGCTAGCTCTCATCCTCTTCAAGTTGTCTTCGTCAAAGAGATCAATCCTGATGGTAGAATGTAACAGTGTTGTCACTCACTCTTCAACCCAGAACTTGTGACACCCCACACTTGTTCTACTTCTACTTTTTCTTTTATCACATTCTCTTTCTCTCTCTCTTTGTGTGTGTGTGTGTGTGTGTGTGGTGTGTGTGTGTGTTTTATGCTTAGTGTTTATTATCTGTCTCTCTCCACTAGAAGTTAAGCTCCAGAGGGCATAAAATTTCTGTCTTGTTTTCTTGTTTAGCAATGTATCACTAACTATGGAGTCCAGGACATGGTGTATTCACAATAAAATATGCTGCTAGTGAAACATGGTTATTATGGAAGAACACATTTTATGATAATCACTATTACACTTAGGCGATAACACTGTTGAGGGGTTTAAGTAATATCTTAATTACTGACATTAAATACCATTTCAAAATATTGCTGATTGATGCCTATTAAAGTGACAACTTGTCATACTGCACCACATGCTTCAAGTATAAATAGATTTGGGAGGCAACAGAAATATCTTTTCATTAATTTTCTATGTACAAGTGACTTACATTAGTAAACAGAATTTAAAAAGTCTCTGGAGAAGCAAGTTCTTCTCCTCATTCGCAGAATTAGGTATGTTGGTCCTACCCATGGGCGAAAGAATGTGTCTCAGGTCTTTATTCCTGTTTTGATCCCTGCTCCCTTGCTTTAATCAATTCTGCCCTGGCCTTTCTCAATACCTGGAGTGAGAGATGCTCTTCACTAGAAGACCCAGCTAAGATCTGCCCTAGCAGGAAAGTCACTGAAGGCCTGAAGGACAAAAATGATAAGCAGAACTTCACTTCCTTCCTCAAACAGTATATTGGAAGGAAAAATCCATGATATCTGGATTTCACACACTCAAATTCCAATGCCAACTCACTGGAACCTGAGCCAAGATAGTCTTTGCCTTTATATCATCTGGAAAGTTGTATAGAGACCAAATCTTCAACCCCAGATCATTCTCATGTATGAAGCAGGTATTAAATAAATGCCAGTTACTATTATAATTATCCTTGAAACCAGGAATTTTTGTCCTCATTTCAATGATTTCTAAAGATGCCCACTGAGTATCTGTGTTGTTTCTTGGTCAAACCATTTCCTCCTTATAAATGTCCTCCACAAGCCTTATTATCACTGGACCAGGTCACAGACAGGGTTATTGGCTTAGGTCCTCTGCTTAGAACATGAAAATGCCCATTCTCATTCATATTCTCAGTGTAGAACTGATATTAAGTCCTGAAATTCTGCTGTACTGAATCTTTGCTCAAGAACAGACAGCTCTTTCCTACGTGAATCCTGCTTTCTGGACATCTGGAATCAAGCACTATACTGGCCGGTTACTTTGAAATAAGCTATGATCTCTTACCTTTACATCTCTCACTAGCTGCCTGGAGTCTTGTGGTATCAAATCATTGACCTGTTCAAAGTCACTCTTAGCCATCATTAAGTTGATAATTTATTGGGATTACTGTATATTGAGCCACCCAACTTCTTCCTTAGGAACCAGGCACATTATATTTATTTATTTTTTTAAGTCCCAGGGTGTTTTCCATTCCTAGACTTCAACATTTTTATAGCTTATGTTGCTCTGTTCATAGAAGCTTTCATAGCTAAGCCTTCTTAACCTATATTAACTTGATAAATCTTTGTGACAATTTTTAAGATAGATGACATACAGCCTTTCTGGGATCTCCATTCTTACAGCAAAGCTTTGGATAAAGTATTATGTCTATTAACATATAACTCCTCCTGAAAAAGCCCAAATACTGCTGAGGGAAGCTAACAGAAACAACAAATGACCAAAGTCAAGGTGACATTGAGTTATGCACAATATTCTATAGGAGAAGGATAAAGGGAAAAATTAAATCTTCAAGGTTTTTTTCACAGAAGTCTTCCAATAGGCAGTGGCATTTGAATTGGGCCTTAGGACAGGAATTCTGATAGACTGGGCAATAAAGGGCATTCATGAGAAGGGACTATGAGCACTGAAGTGCAGAGTTGTGCAACTGTATGACAGGACTGAGGAATAGTGAATCATAAAACAGGTTAGAAATGAGTGGTAGAGAATGACTTTAGATGATGCAATCAAGGTTGAATATACTAGTTGGAATGCTTAGGATTTTAAACCTTTTCTCATAAAAAAGAATAACTCTTGTAAATTTTAAAATAGAGGAAAGAAAATAATATGTTTATGTGTATATTATTTTTTAAACCTCTGAAAATAATGTGGAAGGCGGAATAGAAAGACTAGAGACTAGAAATTGTCCATTTAGAGAGAACTGCATTATTTCAAGAGAGATCATACAAGCCAAAACTGGAGTTGTAATAAACAGACATAAAAAGCTGAATGAGAGAATTCCTAAATATAATTCATAGTATTTTTGATAAAGTTTACCCTGAAGTTTAGAAATCCAGATGGATGTAAATTTCATATGAGAGATGAATCAGGGAAAAGGAAATATGGGTAGGGAGAGAGATGAAGATTTTTGGTATTGGGAAGATTACAATTTTATCTCAAGTTTAAAGTATTGAGAGACTTACAGGTGAAACACAATAAATAGTACAAAATAAGAAAGTATATATCTCTGCAGATATTTGAAGCTATGAGTGAAAGTGCAAAGACAAATTGCGGAATAAAGGAATAAGAATTGACTAAAGAATTAAAGATGAGTGGAAAGAGAGGAGGAAGAGAGAAAGAGAGTGATGGGAAACATCTAAGAGCAAATGTTGGAGGATTCTAACATTTAAGTGGTCAGCATGTGAAGAGGAGTCTGTGCATAAAACTGGGGTGGTAGAGTAGGGAAGGAAATTACAAAATAGTGGCACCATGGACCGAGCTACATACAAAATGTTCTGGGCTGAGTTGAAAATGAAAATCAGAACCATTTGTTCAAAAAAGTAGAGAAAATGTACCGTTACAGGTAATTAGATATAAAGTTTTTCCTTTGTTTTATGGTCTTTATCTAATCATTTTATGGTATTTTATTTGCTGTTTAATGTCATTCTATGTAAGAAAAATTTTCAAATATTGGCATAAATACTACCATTTATCTTTATGTTGCATAATGCCAGCTTTAATGACAAATATAATTTAAGAATTAAACATCAAAATTACATAATTCATATTTCATGGTTCATACGTGCATGTTATTCTTATCACAACAGTGGAAACACTGAAGCCAGTGGCTTGTATAATGCCCTTACGTTGTACTCGAGTCTCACTGAGCTATTACATACTGTGGCTCCACCAAAAGTCAAGTCCTTCTGAGGTCACACACCCCTGAAGCCCACACTGGATAGATCTAAGGGCTTCACGAAGGGCAGATAATGAGTGTCTACCACTGTCTATGTCTTTATGATAGGGCGCCATCAGAGTGGTAGAGAAGACAGGGACATTGTAACTTGAGATAGAACAATAGGATTAAGTAGGTCTGAAATCTGAACTTTTCTGAGTCCATTTATGGCTGATACTAAAAACTTGGCCAGAAAAGTAAAATAAACCAAACTGAGAATTGTCAAAATTTACCCATATCGTTATATCAGATGCTGGCAAGTTTTCCTGTAAAGAAGAACATAGTAAGTATTCTGGGCTTGCTATGTGTGACACAACCTCTGTCACAACTATTCAACTTTGTTGTCATTGTACAAAATTAGTCATAGATAATATGTAAACCAGTGGTCTCCAACCCCTGGGCCATGGATTGGTACCTGTCTGTGGCCTGTTAGGAACTGGGCTGCATAGCAGGAGGTGAGCCTCCTATCAGATCAACAGCCACATTAGATTCTCATTGGAGGTGAACCCCGTTGTGAACTGCACATGTGAGGGATCTAGGTTGCATGCTTCTGATGAGAATCTAACTAATGCCTGGTGATCTGAAGTAGAGCAGTTTCATCCCAAAACCATCCCCTAGCCCCCCATGGAAAAACTGTCTTCCACGAAACTGGTCCCTGGTGCCAGAAATTTTGGGGACTGCTGATGTACATGAATTGGTATAGTTATAGCTGTGTTCCAGTAAAATTGTCTTTCCAAAAACAAGGAATGGGTCAGATTTGGCCTGCAGGCTATAGTTTGCCAATCCTTGGTCTTTTTTTTTTTTTTTGCTTGCTATTTTTCCAAGGTCATGTACCACTGAGATGGGTATTCAGCAATGAAAATGAAAGTATTTCAAAACCAAAGAACTGTAGAATGCACAAAAAAGTTTGTATTATTAAACTATCACAATCACTCTACTGTATTCTCTATAGAATGTCAATAACACTATTCCATGCAGTGACTAGTGGGAATGAAATGCAAATAATGAATGATCTGGAATAGTACAAACTAGCACAACACAAAAGCACGGGGCTTTCATTTGTTAGGAAGGTGCTAGCAGATGTACAGGAAAGAAAATGCCAGGATTTTACTTCTGATCTTATTGCTCCTGTGTGTTGGGTTTCAGCAGATACAGTTGGCCCTGTAGGAACACCAGCAGCATTCATTGCTGGGTTAGTTCCAAATGAGGTTAATTGTATATATTTTAAGTAAGTTAGAACAAAAGTGACATTATATATTGTTACAAAAGATTCTGTCTTCCATGCAAATACTTCCTTGGCCACAGGAAAAGGGTTCTGAGTGACTTTTAATGTAGTAAAGTAACTTGGAGAGGTATGGTTGGAAGTGTCTACATCTTACTTGTAGGGTGGACATCTTCTTTGGTGTTTAATAGTTTTAATCAGAAGGAAAACTTTTTCCTTATTTGTTGGTTTATAAAATGTAAATATAGGAATGAGGAGTTTGAAAACCCTGGGACATAAACATTATTCAAAAAAAACCCTAGGATATAAACATATGATTCAAAATACGTAGAAAAGAAAAATGATGTTATTGTGTTAAAGAGTTACAGCTCATATTTGAACACTTCAGGGCCCAAATAAGCAAGCAGGCAAACAAACAAACAATCATAGTGGTGACTGGTGCCTGTCACAAAGTAGACCATCAATGAACACTTGAATATTGAATAAAATGATGTGATTAGGCCAGGCACAGTAGCTCACGCCTGTTATCCCAACACTTTGGGAGGCCAAGGTGGGCTTATCACCTGAGGTTAGGAGTTCAAGACCAGCTTGACCAACATGGAGAAACCCCATCTCTACTAAAAATACAAAATTAGCCAGGCGTGGTGACAGATGCCTGTTATCCCAGCTACTCAGGAGGCTGAGGCAGGAGAATTGCTTGAACCTGGGAGGCAGAGGTTGCAGTGAGTCGAGATTGCACCATCGCACTCCAGCCTGGGCAACAAGAATGAGATTCTGCCTCAAAAAAAAAAATGTGATTAATTCCACTCAATTTTTCTTCTAATTTCACTAAAACGTAAATAATACTGTAGAAATGTGATTAATGATTTTAACATAAACATAATAATTTCATTAAAAATATGTAGATGGCATGTTTGGACATAAAATATATCTCTGTGTTCCATGCAAGATATATATTATACTTTTTTCAATTGATTTCCTGTCAACTATTATAATGCTATGACTTACAATAATTTTCTATATGAATATATTTCTCAAAATTCTTGTAGTTTATTTTAATCTAACATGAATAAAATGATCAAATATGCTTTTTGAAATATTCTTAATATCTCAATAAAACACATATTTGCAAAAACATATTTTGTTCTGATAAAAAGTATATAGTAATATGTAAAGCATGTAAAAAATAAAAGTAAATATTAAAAACAACATTAAGGTTCTGGAAGAATTAGGTTGCATATGTGTGGTGTGCATGTATACATGTATTTAGAATAGGTTGTATACATGGTTTTACATTTTCTCCTATAGGAAGAGAGAAACAATTTTCCATGTCAGTATTTAATAAAGCCACCATATTATGATAATAGTTGTTTTCCAATTTTTAAAATTTTAATATAATATTTAATATATCAGTAATAATTTTCTAAAATTGAAATTATATTTTAATGCTTTTAAATTTTTTATTAACAAATAATCCTCCAGAAAGATGGTGACAACTTACTCTCCCACCAATAGAGTGCCTCCACTGTGACTTTCCTAATTCAGACCACTACAATTGGAAAAAAAAAGACTAACAAATAGGTAGTTAAAATTTGTATCACATTTTGAATTTGATACTCTGAGTTGCTCTTAATAATTTTTGAATATATTTTACTGCATATAGTTTTTATTTGCAAATTGTTTTACTGTTCTAGTGGTCAGCATTTTGCCATCAATTTAAAAGAACACTTAATAATCATATGTCTGTCTTGTAAGGTAAAACATGGCTGCATATATTTTCTTTAACGATGCTTAAGATCATTTTTTGGCTTAGAAAGGTATTACTTTTAGTTAATGTACTATAAAATGTACTCACTATCAACATTTAATTTATAATTTTCTAATTTTGCTTTCACAGTTAAAAATTTTCAATTTTGAGATTAAATAAATACTATTATTTGACCCAGCAATATCGTTACTGGATATATACTCAAAATAAAATAGTTTTACTAAAAAGACACATACATTTGCATGTTCATTACTGCACTATTCATAACAGCAAAGACACGGAACCAACCCAGGTGTCAGTCAATGATGGACTGTATAAAAGGTGGTGCGTATACATCATTGAATACTACACAGCCATAAAAAGAACAAAATCATGTCCTTGGCAGCAATAGGGATACAGATTGAGGCCCTTATCCTAAGTGAATTACCACAGGAATAGGAAACCAAATACTAGATGTTCTCATGTGTAAGTAGGAGCTAAACAGTGAGTACCTATGGACATAAACATAGGACCAGCAGACACTTTGGACTAGTAGAAGTTGGGGAGGGAGCAGGTAGGGGTTGAAATACCTACCTATTGGATACTATGCTCACTACTTGGATGATGGGATCTGTACCTTAAACCTCAGCATCACACAATACACCATGTAACGAACCTGCACACATACCCACTGTATCTAAAATAAATGTTGAAACTTTTATTCAGATCATTTAATGTTTTGTTTTGCAATTCTATGTGGTTATTCCTAACACAATTTATTTTGGCCTGAAACGTAGAGAACGAGTTTTCAAAATAAAACAATGCATCAACAGAATTCAGTAAATAATCTTTCTCTATGGACTCACAATCACCCCTTGGATGTAGTTTTATATATAGCATGTATATCTAGACTTTCTATTCTATTTCCTTTTATCAGCATTTTCTGGAGCAATATAACATTTTAACTACAGTTTTTATGTGTTACAAAAACATACACATTCTCTTATTGCCCTTTCTATTCAACACTTTCTTGGTTATACTTTTGCACTTTCAAATAATATAAGTTCTAAGTATTATCTTATTTGGCCTTGTTTGGAATTTCTTTATACTTTTCAAATATTGTATGTAACATTAACAGCCTACATTTCTGAGTGCTCAAATTAATATATCACATGTCCATTTATATACTTTTATGGTTAGTAAATTTTACCTTTTAAATTGTTCTGTATGGTTTTAATAAGCAGTAGTTTGAACTTTTTGTTGCTTAATGCTATGATTTGGATATTTGTGTCTACTCTAAAATTCATGTTGAAGCTCAATCACCAGTGCTGCAGTATTAAAAAGTAGGGTCGTTAGGAGGTGTTTAGACCATGAAGTATTCTCTCTTCTGGATGTAATTAGTGTCTGATAACAGTGCTTGATGGGGTGAGTTCAGCCCTTTTGGCATTTCTTCCACATGAGGACACCTCATTCTGGTGAAGAATGAGGAAACAGACACTCATTGAACTTGCTGGAACCTTGATCTAGAACTTACCAGTCTCCAAAACTGAGAAATAAATACCCATTCTGTGGTATTTTGTAATATCAGCACAAATAGACTAAGACACTTAATGCATTTTTTCCATATTTTCTAAATTATATGTAAGAAATACATGTACATGTATACATAAGGCATTTTGAACTGTTAATGAGTTTAATGAAACTATCTCTTCTGTTTCAGCATTAAGACACTGAATATTGTTGTGAGCTATTTCTATATTGGTATGATTAGGAAATATTAATAGATGCCAAAAAGATTTGAAGATGTAAATCTTTTCAGAAAGAAAAAACAAGAGATAAAATGAACACATTTAATAAAATATCAATTGAGTGTTAAAGTCTTTTTATTTAATGATGCAGTAAATTACGTTATTAAATATCTTACCTTGACTTATCCTTTTTATTCTTGGAGGAAATGCCCCTTTGTCATTTAATAGAATTTTATCTGCAGTGTACATTTTTAAATTTAGAAGTTACAACTAAAAGTGGAATAAACATAACTCAAACACTCTATTTTTCCTATCCATTGCTATTTGAGAATATTTGGTTCATGAAGCTCTGATTGCTCTTTCTTATATCCTTCCCAAATAACCAGTAGAAAAAATAGAGTTATATTGCTGTAGGAAAAGAATGACAAATTGCTAGAATATGTTCCCTTTTTCTCTTACATTTTATTTCCTTTGTATGTTAAATTAAATCACACAAAGTCATGCAGTTTCAAAGACGTCAGAGAAAAGGACTTTGATTCAATTTAATAGAGCTGTCACCGTAATACAGGGCTAGCAATCATGCACTTCAAAAAGTACACAAAACTCAAAGAATCATGCTGATAGAGGTGGCTCCACGATGCCTCACTTTGTTAATCGCAAGAGGTTGCTCAGAGTGTCATTTTTTTTTCTAGTGGTCCAATACAAAGTGGGAAAGTCACCAGCAGCAAGGGACTCTAAAATTATAGGCTTGCTACCTTAGCTACTTTTCTATTATGGAAATACCACATATGGTGGAAATGATAGCACTCAGTGGTCTACTTTGGAAGCAGACAACTCCCTTCATCATTTACACATTTGTTCTATATTTTGGCAGTGTCACGGAAACCATTATGTGTAAGAAACAGGTATATATAATGGTTCAATCTTTCAAGATTTTTGCATTGTAGAACATTAGACTATGGCCTACTATATCATTTCTCTACATGAAGAGATTAGACCAGAGTTTTTATAAAGATTATTTCCAGTAATATGTTTTAGTGACTTTATACAACCACTATTAAGCAGCTATTTTAATGCCATTTAGTGTTAGATGTTAGGTGTACAAGAGTGAACAACACAGAAATCATATTTATGTAATGCTTAGTTGTTTAACCTGGTGCTGGCTATCATTTTAGGTATCTGCACGTTCCTGGAACCCAATCTTTCATGGATACCAAACAATGACTACTATGGCAACATCTGCATCTAAATTGTGTAAAACAATTTTAAAAGAAGAAAATACTATAGTAACCAAGACAGTTTGGAATTGGGTAAAAGAAAGACATATGGATTAATTGAAAAAACTAAGACTCCAGAAGCTGACCCGCATGTATACCATTGATTGATTTTTGACAAGGTGTAAAAGTAATTTCATGGATAAGGAATAAGCTTTTAAACACAAGGCTCTGGAACAATTGTATCACCAAGTTTTTCTATTTTCCTTTCCTTCATTGCCAGATAATTTTAAGATGGAGTCTGGAAAGAAGATTAATTAGACTAGATGGTATTTGTCAGTTGAGAAGTTAGAAATAAGTTAATTTGCTCAACAAATAAGATGGTTATCATATTCATGCTAAGAAAGATCAGAAAAAAATTCAAATAATCACTGTGATGAAAATTTTAGGAAGCCAATTCAAAATTAACTAGGATTGCCTAGAAGAATTAAGAGCCTAGGTGAGGAATTCCATAAGAATTTTAGTGGAACAAGCCATTATTATGAATTTTGACAAAATACAAGCTGGAAATTGACAAATGTAGGACTCTAATACATCAACATTTGCTCTTCCCGATCTTCTTTCCACCCTTGTTTATTCTACCCTCTAAACACTAGAGATCAATTCAAAGGACTGGCTTTAGCCTCCAGCTACTGAACAGCTTTGGTTAATAAGAAGCACCTGCAGAAGACTAGAAGACAACAGGAAAGGGGTTGTCTAGTATTTTCTAGTCTCCTCCCTGTCTGTTCTTATTGGATTACCTGTGTCCTACTTCCAAAGGCCACACCTTCTGTAACCTAGAAGCTTTCCATTTTAGGTTCTGGTCCTTCTCTTACCTCTGTCTCTTTAGGCCCAATGCTGGTTTTGCTGTTATTGGTCTCTTGAGAACTGTAAGGTCCTTAGTTTTCCTTAAACTCTACCCATATTTTAATAAGTAATTACCATATTAAACTCTCCCCAAATACCCAGTTAGACTGTTTATTCGCTGATGTGACTCTGATCAACACAGTGGATGAACATATTGGAAAATGTCAACAAATGCCTTGCAAATGATTTATTATAATGACTAAATGACTAGAAAGGCAAGAAAAACTGGAAGGAGATTAGGAGATGTAGGTGAGGTCAAAATAAAGAATAGTTGCAATGGGAATGAAGAATGGGAAAAGTGAAAAGCAGCAAGATTATGTTTAAAAAGACCAAATTTTAGGTTTTATTTACTAATAATGAAGAATTTGTGCCCTGATTATTTCCAAGAGGTGGCTATGGGATGAATTGTTTGAGAGACGTTTTAACTCTGCTACATTTACCAAGAACCTTATATGTGAGAAATGATGTATTAGGCATTGTATGTGAGTTATAACAGATAAACCACAAGCTATCAGCCTGTAAAAGTACAAGGACAATACCACATTTAAATTTGTAATTAATTTTATCATGGTTTTAAGAAATTTTGTAGACAAAATTATATCATATTGAATATATGATATACCAAATAGAATGACTTGTTCTTTCATGTTACTGAATTTTCAGCCATAAATTACACACCTAAAACCTTTTAAACGTTGGGGTAATATATGAAGCAAAAACACACAACCATACATACACAGACACAAACCACTATAAGTTTATTGTCAAAGGAAAATTAATTTCACTGCCACAAAGTAACACTTGAAAATTCCACAAGATAGAATTTCTTAAAATAATGAAAAATCTTATCTTTCTGGTAAACACAATTCTTTAACCTTTTTCCTTTTTTACATCCTTACCAATTTGATAGCAATTACAAGGGGAGAATAGTGATTTAAAATACGCTTTAAAGTAAGAACTGTTATATGAGAAAACTGGCTTGTCATTAATATATCAAGGCTCTGAATTCAAATTCACAGATATTATCTCCTTCAATTTTTGCATAGTGCTTTTGTTAAATAAAATACTTGAAATTAACTTATATTCTGAATTATATAAAATGAAACAAAAAACTTTAAATTTAAAAATGATATACCATGCCATAGAGGATAGGAAATCTCAAGAAAGTTCCAGTGATTTCCTCTTTCCCATATTAAAAAAAATGCTACCACTGAAGATACCGTTAGAAAGAGTATGTTATATTGTGTTCAACCTGACAAAGAAGCTATTTCAAGAAATGAGAATAATAAAAGTTATTTCTAAACTTTGAGAGATCTGTCATAATGAATTGAACTAGTTCAGTTTCTGATTGCTTGACAGCAGTATAGCTGTCTCCAACCTACTACTGTATTGATCTGGTAGCCTTTGTGGCAGTGCATAAAGAATAACCATCTGTGTCAGGTACAACAGCAGGTGCCTTCTCAATTGAACTGGCTGCTGCCCTGATTACAATGAGGCTGTTCAGAGCACCCGGTGACCATGACAGGCTCTTTCTTCTCTGTAGAAAAGAAACTCATTTCTAAAAGTTTACTGAACAGAAACTGAGAAACTCACCAGAAATCATCAGCCGTTGAGGTGCCAGAATGGATTCCAGTGAAGACAAAGTAAGAGATCTAGTGAAGGGAAGATGCCGGCTTGCAGTGGGAAATTCCTGATATTGCACACTAGGCTGAAGTTCCCATTTGGACCATTCTGAAGAAGTCTTGACCTCTTTTTTAAGAGAGGTCATATAATCTGTAAAATATGGCCAATCTGGCCTAATTACAGACATGGAGGAAGACGTCTGTATTGAAAGTGCTGGAGTTGCTGAAACTGTATAAAATGCAACATTGGTGGTGACTTCTGAAAAATCAGGCACTGAGCCTGTCAATGGTGGCAGATTATTTTTGAAGTCATTTGCATGTGTAATTTCTGAATATGTCTTTAAAGTAACATCCGGATAAATTTGTAAGTTTAACTCAAAATCCAGAGAACTATCACTTGGGTGAAGTTTGAACAGTGTATGAGATCCTTTACTTTTTTCCATGTCCAATAAGCTCTCTTGATTTAGTACCTCAGTGGGTCCCATAGTTATGCCATATTGTCTTATTTTCAATAGTTTTAAAATGTTTTCTGATACTGACAGTTCATCAGTAGTCATTTTTGAAGTCAAATCAGAATTCATCAAGTCTGAAGAGATAGTTTGTGAAGGGACAATGGATAAACAAGTCTTATCCAAACATAAATTAACATCCAAATTACTTGATAGGGTAATGGATTCTTCCAAGGATGAGGATAAAATTGTTCTTTTTGCACTCTTTTTAGAAGGAAATAAAGATGGCACTTCTGTGAATGCCACTGATGGTGTTATTTCAGTAGCAGAAGAAAATGAATGCCCAGAAGTGATAGTTTGAGCTCCCATTAGTGCATACCAGCTGGCTAATATCGCTGAGTTCATCCAGAATGTCTCATAAAAGTGGGACTGTTTGCTATGCAAAACTTGATCTGAGAATTCACGAGAGGATTTTATTTCAGTCATAGAACATGTTGCACATGTTTGGCTTAATTCTCTTAAAGAATCAGCAGCCTGTGATTTGATGTTTGTGAGTCTCTGGTTGCTTGAAGCCTCAGTAATAGCCTGATATTCACTGGGATTGAAGGCTTTTGTACTGAACCGGTGCAGAGCTGATGAGTTTAAGATGGTTACCTGTTTAGATATAATTACCTTAGCAGGAAAAATGGGAGACATCGAGGGGCTGAGCAATCTCCAGTGCTCTCTTCTTGAAATTAAAGAATCAGCTGAATATTCTTCAATATCCTCTTGAGCCCCCCTAGAGACAACTGGAGTTGCACTTATGGAGGCAGCTATAAGCAGGAATCCACGGGAGAGTAATGACTGCCTGTTTAGCTCAATATCAGCCCCTGGAATGCTTCTAATTACTGAAGTCGTTGGGGTAGCAGATAAAGCAACAGTCTGACAGTTCTCAAATAATAAAGATTGTGTAGGAAAAATAAAATCTGACATTAAGGAAGACATGATAAATGGGGTCCTTGCTCTCCTATCAGGAAAAAAGAAACCTAGTGTGGCTGCTGAAGTTCGAATAGGCATATGTGATACCGATGTTTTGTCCTGGACAATTTGTGCTGGGTCACGAATACCAAAATTCAGGAATCGAGAAGAGGAAACATCTGCGGAAGAAAGAAGACTGTGTTTTGCTGAAAGCTCTCTAGTGACAATCAGTTCTTGGAGTAAGTAGCTTTCCAAGGGTGTGCTAATTCTTAATGTTGCCAAACCAGTGGTTGGGAGAATGTCGTGCTTGACAATGCCTGTCTGTTTTGGACCTACAAAAAGGAAAAAAGCCAAAAAGGTTAGAAAAATGAATCAGAAACGAACCACTTTGGCACTGGGATAAATCTCAGGCAAATTGCACTGGCACCTTACATCCATTATATGTAGACAAATATGGTTCTGTAAATCATATTTCTAATAAAAGTACATGAGGAGTTTAATGATTTCACAAACTGCATAAATGCAAAGATTCCTATTATTTACACTCCATGGGAGGGCTAAAGTTAGAACAAATGGCATTACATAGAATTGACATATTCCCAACTAAATGACTCCTTTGAATAAGAACACATGAAAAATTACAACTCTTTGTCATTGACACAACCAATGAATGTTTGACCCATCGGGTTAGAAATGTTAGAAATACCGTTTTACTTCCTCAATAGGCAAAATGTTCTGTTTATATTAGATAACACCATATTTCAATTTAATTTTTTAAAAGAATAGAAATTACATAGATGAAAAATAGACAAGGTACATTTCTACTTAGAATACCCAATAGCCTTCAAAATTATTTTTTCTTCAAGAATTCCTTGCTAAGGGCTACAATTCTTACTCTGATTATCCGAAGTGGCATTGGCTACATGAAGAGTAAATTTGGAATTTAATATACAATGTACTGTTTATAATATGACATCACTTGATTTAGAAAGTTAAAGAATTGGACATGTAAAAAACAGCCTGAAGTTGTTAAAATAATTCACAATAGGAAAATAAGCACATATCTTTTATCTGAGTGTTAGTCAAATAATTTGATAGGAATATAAATTTACCTTAATGACTCAGAGAATATGAAGTAAAGACACATTGATGCAAGTAGCACAAGGCCCTTTTAAAACAAAATGTGCTGGGATTGAGGTCCAGTTGTCTATTCGAATTTACACAGTGGAATAAAAACTGTTAATTTACATTTTTTTACTGATCCAGAAATAGTATTAGCAAACAACATTGTTTAAAACAAAACTTAAAACAGGAGTCATAACCAATAATGCTTAATTTTACACCCCTAAAAATCATGTATCTCAGAAAAAAAAAAGATTTTAATAATGCAGAAAATATGCTTTTACCACACAACTTTTTCAAACTCAAACTTCTTAATATCTTACCCACTTCTACTTACCTTGATCAACTGGGTAAGTGTCCATTATGGCTGGTATTCTAGTAGCCTTTATAGATGGAAAGCTGCTGACCAAAGTCTCAGAAGGGGGAATTGTATATGTCTGTGTGGAAATGGGATCTGTTCTTTGAAAGATGGGAGTTAAACAGGTAATTCTCCTTATTTCATCACCACAAAGAAGCCCAATGGAGCAGGTCTGCAAATGACAATTACAGTAATTAAATTAAGCTCAGTTTCTTTGTTCCTAAGAGAAATTGTAAAGTTTGTTTTGAGATCCATTTGCATTTCCATAGACATATTGGATAGCTCAAATAAAATATTTTACTTGAAAATTAAATCTCCATAGTAAATTTTACCCATATTTCAAAATGGACTCAATCCTTTCAATTTGAGATATGCACAGTTGCATGCCCAAATTTATTCTTAATTCCTTTAATTTTAAGTCAAAATACTATTTTTACTTTTGAGAATATAGTTTTCCAATGAAGAATTTGTACTGTATGGTAATTAATGTGGATATAAAAAAGAAGTCACATTACAAATTATAAAACTTTTCTGCTCTAAAAGTCAAATTTAGTTGGAAGCTAATGTAAAATGCAGTATCTGCAACAGAAAATTTGAAAACATATTCTTGTGATTTGCAAATTATTTTAGTTTGTATTGGCTTGCAGTAGGAATGATCTTTATGTGTTTTAGTTTGACATGAAAAGGCTATTTCTACCATATCCTATAAAATAGCTTTCACATGAAGAAACTGTGAATGAAAATTGCGATAATGTATAAATAAGTATAAATGGACCAGAGAGATACGTTTATAAATGTAGAGTTAAAAACAAGTTATACTATATGAATCATTTTTATTTGTAAGAAAATAATATTTCAAAATGATTTTAAAATACTAATACATGTCTATTTCCTAATAATAAAGACATACCTAATAGGCATCCCTGCTTTAGTGTTCTAATATTTGTTAAATATTACATCTAATTTGCAGAACACTTAAGTCTTCTTTCAGATGTGGGTGGTGGTTGTTTCACAGTTCCATATTCTGTAGTCACTTTCAACTCACACCAAAAAGTTGTATAAATGTCAGATGATTCCTAATGTTAGATAATTCGCAACAAAGAAAAGCCCAGGACCAGGTGGCTTTACTGCTGAAATTGATCATACTTTTAGGAAAGAACTAACACCAAGTCTTTGCTATTGTGAATAGTGCTGCAATAAACATACGTGTGCATGTGTCTTTATAGCAGCATGATTTATAATCCTTTGGGTATATACTCAGTAATGGGATGGCTGGGTCAAATGGTATTTCTAGTTCGCAACCCAAATGTCCAACAATGATAGACTGGATTAAGAAAATGTGGCACATAGACACCATGGAATACAATGCAGCCATAAAAAAGGATGAGTTCATGTCCTTTGTAGGGACATGGATGAAGCTGGAAACCATCATTCTCAGCAAACTATCGCAAGGACAAAAAACCAAACACTGCATGTTCTTACTCACAGGTGGGAATTGAACGATGAGAACACATGGACACAGGAAGGGGAACATCGCACACCGGGGACTGTTGTGGGGTGGGGGGAGGGGGAGGGATAGCATTAGGAGATATACCTAATGCTAAATGACGAGTTAATGGGTGCAGCACACCAACATGGCACATGTATACATATGTAACAAACCTGCACATTGTGCACATGTACCCTAAAACTTAAAGTATAATAATAATAAAATTTAAAAAATTATATAAAAAAAAGAAAAGAACTAACACCAATTCTTCTCAAGCTATTACAAAACATTGAAGAGGAGGAAATTCTTCCTTACTCATTCTATGAGGCCAGCATTACCCTGACACCAAAACTAGACAAGAACATAAAAAAATCCACAGGCAACTATCATTGATGAACCTAGATGCAAAAGTTCTCCCCAAAACACTAGCAAACTGAATACAACAACATATCAAAAAATAATACACTATGATCAAGTGGGATTTATCCCAGGCATGCAAGGATGTTTCAACATATGTAAATCAATAAATGTGACATATCAATCAACAATATCAAGGACAAAATCCATATAAGTATCTCAATAGATGCAGAAATTAATTTGATAAAATTGAATATCACTTCATAATAAAAAGTCTCAACAAATTTGGCATTAAAAAATACTTTAACATAATGAAGGTCATAAATGACAAACCCACACCTGAAATCATATTAAATGGGCAAAAGCTGAAACCCTTTCCTCTAAGAACTGTAATAAGACAGGATGCCCACTTTCACCATTGTTATTCACCATTGTCCCGGAAGTGCCAACAAGAGCAATTAGGAATGAGAGAGAAATAAAGAGCATTAAAATTAGAAAAAAGGAAGTCAAACTGACCCTCTTTGCAGAAGACATAATCTTATATATAGAAAAACCTAAAGACTCCACCACAAAATCTCTTAGAGCTGATGAACAAATTCAGTGAAATTGTAGAATAAAAAAATCAACATACAAAATTTAGCATTGTTTCCATACACCAATAATGAACTATTTGAAAAAGAAATTAAAAATGCAATCCCAGTCACAATAGCCTCACAAAAGAAATACATAGGAATAAATTTAACCAAGGAGGTGAAAAATCTGCAAGGAAAACTACAAAACACTGATGCAAGACATTGAAGAGGACAGAAATGAAGGGAAAGACATCCCATGGTTATGGAGCAGAAGAATTAATATTATTTCAATGACTGTATTAAACCATTCTGCATTGCTATAAAGAAATATCTGAGACTGGGTATTTCATAAAGAAAGTAGGTTTAATTGGCTCTCAGTTCTGCAGGCTTTAGAGGAAGCATGGTGCTGGCATCTGCTTGGCTTCTAAGAATGCCTCAGATAGTTTACAGTCATAACAGAAGACGAAGAGGGAGGAGGCACATCACATGACAAAAGCAGGAGCAACAAAGAGAGAGAGAGCCAGGGAGGGGATGGGTAGGGGACACACACTTTAAAATAACCAGATCTCACAGGAACTCACCAACTACTGCAACACCAGCAGAAAGTGATGAGGGATCCACCTCCATGACCCAAATTCCTCCCCCCAGGCCACATCTCCAGCACTGGGGATTGCAATTTAACATGAGATTTGGGCAGGGTCAAATATTCAAACTTTATGAATGACCATGCTATTCAAAGCAATCTACAGATTCAAAGAAATCTCTATCAAAAGACCAATGATATTTTTCAGAGAGATAGGAAAAACAATTCTGAATTTATATGGAATCACAAAAGATTCTGAATAGCCAAAGCAATCCTAAGTAAAAAGAACAAAGCTGGAAGCATCATACTCTCTGACTTTAAATTATACTATGTAGCTACAGTAACTTAAAGCAGCATGGCATTGGTATGAAAACAGACACATAGACCAATGGAACAGAATAGAGAAGAAAGAGATAGATTCACATATTCACAGCTAGCTGATTTTTGATAGAGATACCAAACGTTAGAGAAAGAATGCTATCTTCAATAAATAGCGCAGGGAAAACTGGATACTCATATGAAGAAAAATAAAACTAGACTCGTATCTCTCACCATATACAAAAATCAACTCAAAATTGATTACAGACTTAAGCATAAGACCCCAAGCTATAAAACTACTAGAAGAAAACAGAGTAAATGCCTCAGGACATTGGTATAGGCAAAGATTTTTATGAGTATGATCTCAAAAGCACAAGAAACAAAAAACAAAAATAGACAAATGGAATTGAGTTAAACTAAGGAGCTTCTGCATAGAAAAGGAAACAATTGACAGAGTGAACAGATAACCTGCAGAATGAGAAAAAATGTTTTCACACAATGCATCCAACAGGGAACTAATATTTAAAATTTTACAAGGACCTCAAACAACTCAACAACAATAAAAAATATAACCCCATCAAAAAAAGTGGACAAGGGGCATGAATAGGCATTTTTTTCAAAAGAAGACATACAAATGGCCAAGAAACGTATGAAAAGCTGCTCAATGTCACTAATCATCAGAGAAAGGCCAATTAAAACTGCAATGAGATATTATCTTACATTAGTTAGAATGGCTACCATTAAAAAGACAAAAAATAACAGATATTGGCAAGGATGCAGAGAAAAGGGAACCCTTATATGCTTCTGGTAGGAATGTAAACTAGGACAAACTCTATGGAAAACAGTATGGAGATTTCTCAAAGAACTAAAAATAGAACTACGATTCAATTCAGCAGTCCCACTACTGGGTATACAGCCAAAGGAAAATAAATCATTATATCAAAAAGATACATGTATTTATATGTTTATCACAGCACCGTTCACAATAGCAAAGATGTGGAATCCACCTATCAGTGAAGGCTGGATCAAGAAAATGGTGGTATATATACACAATGGAATACTAGTCAGCCATAAAAAGAATTAAATCAGGTGTTTTGTAGCAATGTGGATGGAACTGGAGGTCATTTTCCAACATGAAACAACCCAGACACAGAAAGACAAATACCCACATGTTCTCAGTTACAAGTGGGAGCTAAATAATGTGTACATATGGACATAGAGTGGAGAAAAATAAAAACTGGAGACTTAAAAGGGTGGGGGAGGACATGGGGGGGTAAATAATGAGAAATTACTTGTGGTTACAATGTCTGTTATTGGAGTGATGGATATACTAAAATCCCAGATTTCATCATTATGCCATATAGACAGTCACGTAACAAAATTGCACTTGTAACGCTTAATTTGATACAAATTTTTTAAAAGCTAAAAGAGAATTTTAATGTTCACAACACAAAAAAGATATCTTCAATATTATGCTAATTACCCTGATTTTATCACTAACACAATGTATACATCCATTGAAATATTACTATGTATTCCATAAATATGTACAATTAATATGCGTCAACTAAAAATAAAAGAACAAAAGAACTATAAAGTGTCTGTGTATAAAAACTTAAACATTAAGTGGAAAAATATCCACAGCAAACAAAAACACAGGGTCAACAGGATCCCTTACCATAATGGATACAGAATGCATGTAAATTAAGAAAAAAGAGAAGGGGCCAGGCGTGGTGGCTCACGCCTGTAATCCCAGCACTTTGGGAGGCCCAGGTGGGCGGATCACAAGGTCAGGAGATCGAGACCATCCTTGCTAACACGGTGAAACCCCGTCCCTACTAAAAATACAAAAAAATTAGCCGGCCTTGGTGGCGGGCGTCTGTAGTCCCAGCTACTCGGGAGGCTGAGGCAGGAGAATGGCGTGAACCTGCGAGGCGGAGCTTGCAGTGAGCCAAGATTGCGCCACTGCACTCCAGGCTGGGCGACAGTGCGAGACTCCGTCTCAAAAACAAACAAACAAACAAACAAAAACCTAATAGGTACCAAGATGATATAGTAATTTCTATGAAACATCATGACTTAAAAAATTATTTTCTTTCTGAATCTATGTTTGAGGAAAAATATGCAAATAAGATCTTCTGAATTAGAGCTTTATGAGAATATGGTCATCTGCTTTCTTGTGGACATTGTATAGCCCTCTATGTCTTCACTCAACAAATGTTTATTGATCAATATCTAAGTGCCAGTAACTGTTGTAATTGTTGGAAATGAGCTGGTCAACAAGATAGGCAAAGTTTCTCCATTATATACTTTGTATTTTAGGAAAGAAATTTGAATTAATTAATATCAATTAGTGATAAGTGATTTTAAGACAAAATATCCCAAAATACATAATAAGGAAAAACAGCAAGGGCTGTTTTGGAGGCAGTGGCCAGGGAAGTCTTCTCTGAACAGGGATATAAATTAATGTGAGTATTTTAGGAAAGAGTATCAAAGGCGAAAAGAACAGCAGTGCAAAGGCCTGCGGGCAGGAAAATGCTTAATATATTTACACAAAAGCAAGATGGACAGTTAAAGAGAATAAGGGAAGGCCATGTAGGTAGAAATGAGGTCACAGAGGTGATTAGAAACCAGATAATGTGGCTTCTTTACTTGTTTGTTGTTGAATTTGGAATTGATTCTGAGAATTATAGGAAGCCATTGGAATATTTGAAATAAGAAAGTTCTAATCTTATTGATATCATAAAAAGCTTACTGTAGATAATATACACTCAATGGAGCTTGGATTCGGGGGAAGAATGGAAGCTAAGGTATATTTGGGAAGCAGGGACTGATCCAGGAAAGGGAAATAATTAGACTGACCTGGAGTGGAAATGGTGAATATACTGAGTAAAGTTTGTATTCAGGGTATACGTGGAAGGCAGAGCCTATAATACATGCTGATGGACTAGATGTATGGGGTGAGAATAAAAAGTTTAGTGAATGATTTGTAAATTTGTATTCCTATCAATAAAATAGAAATAAAAATTAAAGAAGACAAGCAAATTTACTAAATTATAGAAGACCAGTTACAGATTGGAGGATAGATCACAATTTCTGTTTAAATACATTAAATTTGAGAAGCTTATTGGCTACCAGATATGTAACAAGTTGAAAATATGAGTCTCTCTTGAAGCAGAATTATTAATAGTTTCAATAAAATAAAGTATGGTTTAAAGAAAAGCAGTGTTATCCCATAGTCCTGTCTAATTTTCTGGTAATAGAGCTAGAAAATGGCAGAGCAAAGATTTTTACCTAAGAAGTGAGGCTCCAGAACCCACACTTCAAACCACTATACTATACTTTTGATATATGAAACATCGTCAAGATTTGTTATCAATATTTCTAAGCTAAAGTTGATTATTTTAGGTAATAAAGCTAAAACAATCTTGTACTCTGACAGTCTACTTAACAAACATCACTGTCAATTAAATTTAATCATCACAAACCATGTTTTAAGATCTGGGCAAAACAGTTTCTATTATCTCAATGACTTTACAATCCAGTGGACTGTTAGTATATTTCACTCTATTGACAGTAACATTTGAAGATAAAATGTTGTGGCTTATCCTTATTTTCTACAAGAAATAAGGAGTACATAATACAGAAAAAACCCAGCATCCTTCAGGTGACTTGTTCCTCTTTCCTGTGTCTTTCCAGCCTACTTTGAGTGGTTTCATGCCATTGCTGACCTCTGTTTACCTCACTAACCTCTGGTTATTTTCAGCTCTCTTTTTTTTCAACTGTATGTCCAATTCTCTCTATGGTTTCTGTTTTCCTCATTAAGATATTAACAGATTCTGTGTTCTATAAAAGATACATAGGATATTTCTCTATGTGGTTATCTAACTTGATTGGGAGACAAAAGGCAAAGTAGGTGGCAACCAGAAAGTGAGAATAATATTCTGAAGATATCATTTACCCATAATAATAAAAAAACTCTAGTAATAATCAAATATCAAATGTTAAGAATACTTTGCTCCAAAACATGTAATATTGAGATATCTTTGTGCTATGTTACTGGGCTAGATAAATATTTTAGTTTCTAGGTTTTTAAAAAGATTTTTCCACACAAAATCAGTATGTAGGGTTCATGATAATAATTATAGTTTTTAACAGCATTCCTTTTGTTATGCCAAATTGATTTGTATGTCTTTTCCAGCATACTACCAGTGCCCCTAGGAAGGGGACTATGTTACATTTTCCACTGAATGGCCGGGGCTAATATGATGGCTGGCACATACTGATGTACTTGATGGTCAGTAAACATTTATTGGAAAAAACTAAGAGAAACATATTGAAAACACACGTTTATCTAAGTACATACATATTTCTTTTTCCCTTTTGTAGATAACTGTATTGAAATGAATATTCATTAAATTATCTAAACTTTTCATTCTTTCCTCAAGCCATTCTAATGTAGCTTTCATGTCTTCTTGCCACTAGGACTGTTATAGTGAAATTCCAGAAATCCTATTGTGCTGTTAAATACAAAGCACAGTTTTTGATCTTCATCTTATTCAAATCATCTACATACTTAACTACCACCTTCTAAAAAACTTGGTTTCTCTCTAACCTTCTACCTCTTTCTCCTATTCATTATCAATCTCCTCTGCTGGCTCCTTCTCTTTGTAGCCTCTAGTTTGGAATTTATCATGGCTTAGTATTCAACTTTTTTCTTTCTCCATTCTCCCCAGAAGCAATGTCATATATTCAAAAAGGCTATAAAGATATCATATATTGATGAGTCCCAAAATCATATCTCTACTTCACACTTCTCTGAAATACATTTTTATATAACCAACTGCTTATTTAGAATCATTATTTAAATATCTCATGGGTACCTTAAACATAACATGTACAGTACTGAACTGCTGATTCAGTCTCTCCATTCTAACATGTTCCTCCAACCACCTGTCCCATCACAGGAAATTTATTATCATTACTCTATTGCTGAAGTCCTCCCTGATTTTTCATTATCTTCTATCTCACACATCTACTCAATACAATGTCTTGCTAATTTTTCTTTCATAACACATTTCAAATCCAGCCTTTTCTCTGAATTTGCTTTGCCACAAATATCAAACCATCATTATCTTTTACATAATAATTGTTAGAGCCTAGCTGGTTTCTTCACTCCCACTTTTAACCTCCTTCTAGATCTTTCTTTATGGAAGAATAGGAATATTTTAAGAACCTGAATAAGATCACATCATTTCCCTTTTGAAAAAACTTGTTAGTATATATGTCAATTGCACTTGAATAAAATTCAAACTAATTACTATTTTTCTGACTCTCAACCTAACCTGACCCTGTTTACTTCTACAGGCACTTCTGTACTTTTGCCCCCACCATAGTTACTGTGCTCAACTCCCATTATCCACTCTTTACTGTCCCATACAGGACAAGATCTTTTCCTCCTCATGACCCTTGTTTATGCTGATACATCTGACAGCACATCCATACCCTCACTCTTCCTTTGGATTATTTCTTTTTATCACACGGGTTATAACTTAAAGGTCCCTTCCTTAGAGAAAACTTTTCTACTATCTACATTATTTTTCTATCACAGTAACTTTTTCTTTTCCTTCTGACTACTATAGTTTGAATTATATTTTATTTTTCTATTGCCTTGATTTATATGTCATTCCTGGTACATTGTAAATGTCACTAGGTAGAAGCCTATCTCCATTCCATCCTGCATTGTATTCAGCACACTATTTGTATGCTGCTAACCAATTAGTGTTTGTTGAATGAATATAAAATTATATTTACAAAATTGCCTCTATAAATTAGGTTAAAGAGTTGAGCAAGCAAAATGTAAGTATTTTTACCCATAACTCGTTTAATTAAAATTTGAAACACAGGATGGCCCTTTAGATGCCTTTATATTACAAGAAAAACAACCAACCAAATATGAGAGTTCAATAGGCACCAGTCTTGAGCTACAAGAGTCATCAACCTTACTCTGAGAAATAAGGGCCACATCATGTGAACAGTCTGTCTTGAAACCAGAGATGACAGATGAAATGGAAGTGCAATTAGCACTATTACACTCTTTCTCTTTGTCCTCTACACTTAAGAAACATTTTCCCCTTTTCCCAAGGTCTATCATTAAGAAATGCTTAATGCTGCTGAAGATGAGCTCAAAAGAATTGGTAAATTATTTGAAAATTTAGCAATTTGAAAACTAAGTAAGCTCAAAGCCATTTACCACTATCCCATTTAAACATGCATCAAGAAACATTTTCCCCCTTTTCCGAGATCTTTCATTAAGAAATGTTTAATGCTGCCAAACAGGAGCTCAAAATAAGTGGTAAATTATTTGAAAATTTAGCAATTGGAAAACAAAGTAATCTCAAAGCCATTTACAACCACCCTACCTAAACATGTGTCAGGTAGCTCCTAGGCTTTAGGGACTAATAAAAACAGAGCCCTGGGTGAGTTTTTCTGGTTGCTTAGCAAGTCACTAGAGGAAAAATGCAAGCTGGTAGAAGAATAGGTCCTATTGCCTCTTGTGTTGGGTGGACTTCCTGAGGAGCTATACAAGGCTAGGACATTAGAATATGTAATATCATGGATGCTAATCTTCCACAAGATAGTGCCTCCAGGTTCAAACACTGCCCTACCTGGTAGCTCTGGCCCTTTTTGGGATAACTATTTTAAACCAGGAAAGATTTATAGGAAAAAAAGTGCTTACAGGACAAAATAATTAGCCCCATTTAGCTTTTCTTTTTCTTCTGTTTCCTCCTCTTCCCCCACTTCTACTCCATCCTCCTTCTCTTCTTTCTTATCCTACTGCTGCTCCTCTTCCTTTTTCTTCTTCATTTCAAGAGCATAATCCCACAGAGATTTTGTTTCCCTGAGACTGATACATAATGAGTTGAAGCGGAAAGAGTGAAATTAGAGATCAGGAGACCCCAAAGTGCCTGGAAAACCTCTGTTGCCTCCCAAGAGCACACAGAACTTCGCCCTTCTTGAAAAAATCCATTAGACAGGAAATCATTCAGAATTTTAGAGGAGTCTGGTGAAGTCTCTCTTAGATTTCCAAACCCTGCAGGCTGTTTATCAAAATCTTATACAGCCTCATACAAACCCTGTGATCTACAAAGATGTTATCTAAGACTCCAGAAAGGAAAGCCCTTTCATGTAGTTTTCTATATGTGATAGGGCTCACAGAAGTAGATGGTCATCATTCAAACTGGTTCTGTGGAGGTGAGTCAGTGGTCAGATCTGAAGAAGTAAGTGTGATCTATGCATGTCTTCCGAACAGAGTCTATCTTAATGGATTATATAGATAGTACTACAGATCACATGAATTATCCCTCTGCTTAGGCTGTGTATACTACTAAAGTAAATGAATACCTGTGTGTGTGTGTGTGTGTGTGTGTGTGTGTGTGTGTGTGTGTTCTCTGCCTGAAGCATCTACCAAAAAGGTGGCCAAGCTCTCAAGAATATATATAATGCTGGTATTCTTTTCTTCCCTTATGACAACTTGACAACACACAACAGGAATTCTCATTCCCCTAATCTGCATTATTTCTCTCTTTTTTTATTTTTGGGTGGAACATGTTCCATCAAATTTATGTGCTTCGCTCTCTGTATCTCTGTCTCTTTCTCTTGGTTTAGAATAATTCATCTATAATGGCTCCTGAGAGTCATTGCCTGGGACACTGCAACGTAACATTGTTTTATTTATTTTCCTAGGTTATCCACAATATCCTGTCATGAAAGTTTAAAATGTCTTTTCCTAGGGGAGGATGATAATCATGTTTTCTGTCTGATAACCTAACAATGTATGGCCCAAACTTTTCAAAACATTTTCAAGTATGTCAGTCAATTAATTGTTAATTCAAATCAGTTTTCATCTTTCTCAAGGTTAAAGAGGAGAATAAAATCAAAGACCATGAATAAAACTATGGGTCCATAATTTTATAAATTTGTATGAAGTCTGAAGAACATCAAGAATTTGTGAAATTTTCCACAGAGTAGAAGCACACAAGCTCCATCTAAGTTTTATGGGGTGACAACAATATAAACATGAAATAGTCACTTCTTCTCTGGTGTCTGATAATTGGTAGTGAAAACTTTAAGGATAATTTTCTTTTTCCTTATTGAATTTGGCTACCAGAACTTCAGGGGATTTGCTTCAATGGCAATGCTTCTGAAAGCACAAGTTCATTGATTTGCTGTATAATTTTAATCTGCAGGGAGATCTTCTAGCAGACTAAAGAATGCAGGAATAAGGATCTTAAGGAATGCACTGAATCTCACTTTTGTTTCTAGTCTATCCAAAAGAAGGTGCAATAAGAAGGGAAATGGAAAGCATAGCTCAGGGGAGAAGTCAAGGTTAATACTAGAGACAGATGCGCAGGCAACAAATATTGCTGCAGAAAGTTGATGAGGCAAGAGGTCAAGATGCATTGTTTTAGAGGCAAGGTCTCAAAAGCACATTGACTATGTATCAAACATATGCCAGAGTTATCTTTCAAAATAAAAGTCTGACCAGGTGATTCCTCAGTTCAAAAAGTCATGACTGGCTTACCACTCTTCTTGAAAACAGTAAAACAATTTAATCTAGCACACAATATCACCAGCTATTTCTTATTGAATATTGATTTTTCTTATTGAAAACATGGTGAGAAACTTACTTAGGTTACCCCCAAATTTTAAATATATGGGATTTTCTCGACTTTTCACAATGATTAAGTTTAATTACATGTCAATTATTTTCGATATCCATGATCCTAATATAAGAAGTGCCAATGGCCTTCTTATACACTAACTACATTTGTAGATATTGAGTTTTAAAAGCAAAAAAAGTTTGAATGTTAAAGTTATATGCCTGACTACGGCCAAGTTCATATTGGAAATACCATTGTTTTTAATTTAAATTTAAGTACTTTGTATTTAACTCCAAATAGCAAAATCAAGAAATTACTCTGTGTCAGTCATCATATCAGAACAATTTAATAACGCATAATTACTACAGGTGCAAATTATCAGTGTGACTAATATATATAGTTATATATAACATAACTAAAACTCTGTGGTCCTACTGTCAATAGCATCCTCTGAATTTTTTTTTTCTAAATTCTCACCTAATTGAAATCAAATACCTTAAAGATTTCCCTGAGACCACTGTTTATGACTCACCAGTCCTAGAAACTGATATCTGATACAGAACCCTGAGTATGTACAAGTAAAAGAGCCATGAAACATTTCAGAAGTCAAATTGTTTGATCTTTCCTACTATTTTGGTAAGAATACATGGAATTAGCAGACACTATAGGTAAATTCGTGGGTCATCGATGTGAGGATCCCAATACTCAACTGATTTTTGAGAACTGGCAAGTAGAAATTTAAAACTTTCTTTTTCTTACCACCAAATATCTATAACATTTAGGGAAGCTTTTCTTAAGTCACAGAATGTTCAACTGACTGCTCATAAGAAAAGACATTTATTTCATGAAACATCTTACGTTCCTCCATTGGAAATAATGTCCTCATTCTCTGAATCTGTATAATGTTATGTGTTTACATTTTATGCTGCTTACCCATTTCTTTTCTGTGTTATAATTGTTGTTTTGCATGTTGTATCTCTTCTCTACGAATCTGAGTTTCTTAGGATAAAAAAAATCTTAAATAGTTGTTAGAATCTAAGTTCAACAATATACACATATTAAGTGCTAAAATATGTGTCATAAAGGATATATTAAAAAATAACATAACCTCACATCTTTCCATTCACACTCCTTGAAAGTAACTTGCAAGCTTTCCTACCTGTTCTCCCTAGAACAATGTCTCCTTGTATTCAAGAAGACTTGCTACACTTGACCTCCTATATAGACTATTACTTGAGCCAATCTGAGCAAACAAATTTGGACTGCATACCTTTATTTTGCCATCCATAGCATCTTGTTTTTATACCTCTATCAACACATATTAGTTAATATATTATCATTTGTTTACCCATTTCTCCCTTGGAGTATTATTCTATACCAACCCAAACAGCCACAGTTGTCACACACCAATGAATACACTGATCATTTTATACTTATCTTTAACTAATTTATCATTAGAAACATTAAGTTGGCATCTTCATTTTAGAACATTAAGAACAATGTCTTCTGAACACTTTCAAGCCTCTCTCATTTTCTACAACATACTGTGGCAATACATATTTTCTTTCTCCTTTCAGATTGAAGTGAGTCAGCCTTATAGTCAGAAAGTCTTTGAAGCTAGTCTTCAAACTCTGGGAATGTGCACACAGCCTTCTCCTTACTTGGGAATTCAAGTGCAAATGACATGAAAACAGTTACAGAAAGTAAGGCAAAACCAAATCAAACACTATCATACAAGGACACCATCTAACATCCAAAATATATCAAAAGCAGCAAGCAAGATATGCTGTGTTGTACGTCAGTATCCCTGAGCTGCATGGAGAGCAACAACCAACAGGTCTTCCTTCCTACGCATTAACTCTTTTCTTAGTTTCATTTATTTTTAATTAAGGGGGGAAAAGCTTAAAGCAGGTGGTTTCTGTATGAATAAAAAAAAAGACTCCTAAGCCAAAAGAGAAGTATAAAACCCTGCCGTTTCTCAGTGGCAATGCCAGAAAAAGCAGAGAAACAGAGATTGGTTTTTATCATAAAAAACGCAATAGATGCAAGTTATATTTTCTCCCACTGCCTTGCCAGAATTTAATTATTTCTAGAATAAGCTAGCAGGTGTAAAATGCACAGTTCCATTTGTTATCATGTAAGAACCATGTGAAGAAAAGAAGTTTTGGTTAAAAAAAAAAAAGAAAAAATTGAAGGCACTAAGTCTTAGTCTGTTCAGGCTACTGCAAAAAAAGATACCATAAACTGGTTGACTTATAAATAACAGAAATTTATTTCTCATAGATCAGGAGGCTGGGAAGTACAAGTTGAGGGATGTTTAGTGTCGGCTTTCTCACAGATGGTGCCTTCTAACTATGTCCTCATAGGCTGGAAGGGACTATCTAGTTATCTGCAGCTTTTTTATAAGAGCACTCATCCCAATCATGAGTACTTCACCCTCATGACTGAATCACCTCCCAAAAGCCCTACATTCTAATACCATAGTCTTAGGGGTTAGAACTTCAACATTTGGATTTGGGTGAGGGAGATACAAACACTCAGGCCATAACAGAATAGATAAGCTAATCTTTATATAAGTTAATGTATTCTGTGCTCACCAAAAGAAATCTGAGTATGGCTCAGAGTGAAAAGATCTAGAACTGTATTTTGGTTGCAGAGTGAAAACTTTCTGACGTAGTGCTCATGGATATAGGGTTTGTATTCACTGGACAAACTACATTCTAACATTTGCTATCTATGAATAAGCGACCAACATCTCTGAGCCTGTTTCCTCATCATCACCATAGGAATAAATAATGATTCTTACATCACAAAATTGTTTTAATCATTCAATAGGGTAAAGTATCCAAGACATTTAGCCTGGCAAATAGTTAGGCTTCCTTCATAAATAATAACGTTTTAATGGAAGCTTATGGCTCAAGTGATATTTTAAATCACTCTAAATATTATTGTAGAAAACAATGCATTATATCTTTAGCAGTGTATGATATTGCATTCAACAGACTGTTCCACAAAATTCTTGTGCTTAGTTGTGATTAACACCACAATAATTGTAATCCATTCATGTTTTCGTTCATGTATAATAATCAACAAAATTTTATTTAGAATCTACTATGTTGTATCTGCCTGGAGAACAGAAGTAGGTAATATGTGCACAGTTCCTGTTTTATGGAACTTATTGAAGAGGAGAAAAGCAGACCAGAGAGGGAGAAGGGAATAGAGAAGAAGAGGAAGGGAGGTGAGAGTAGTTGGTCAAATAATAAATATATAGCCACAAAAATAATTGATGAATTACAATTTTAGTAATTGCTATGAAGACAAATTATAAAATGCTGCCTAATTTCTTGTGCGAATGCAAAATGGTACAAATATTTTAGAAAACAGTTGGGCAGTTTCTAAGTAAACATACTGTTACTGTATAATCCAGTGAGTGTGTGCCTCGATGTATAGCAAACGAATTGAAAACATGTTCACACAAAAAACTCCACAAGAATATTGATAACAGCCTTATTCATGATTGCCAAAACTTGAAAACAATCAAGAAAAACTTTAGTAGGTTGAACGGATAAACCATGGTACATCTGGACAATGGAACATTATTCAGCCCTGACAGGGGCTCTCATGCCATGAAAAAATCCTGGAAGGATATTAAATCCCCATTATTAAGTGAAAGAAGCCAATCTAAAAGGGCTATATACTGTATTACTTCAACTATATGGCATCCTTACAAATGCAAAACTATGAAGACCCTGAAAAGATCAATGATTGCCAGAGATGGAGGGGACAGAGGAATTCACAGGAGGATCACAGAGGATTTTTAGGGCATTGTTACTATTCTGTATCTATAATGGTGGTTACATGTCATTATGCATTTGTTCAGACCCAAAGAATGTACAAGACCAAGAGTGAACTCTAATGTGAACTACAGACTTTGGGTGATAATGATGTAATATAGATTTATTGATTGTAACAAATGTACCACTCTGTCATGGGATGTTGATAGTGAGGGAGCCTGTGCATGTGTGTAGGGATGGGTATATGAGAACTCTCTGTATTTTCTGCTCACTTTTTCTGTGTACCTAAAGCTCTTCCAGAAAATAGTTTAAGAAAAAAAGAGTTACCTAAGCACATGTTGTGGCAGTATTATGAGGTTTACCTGAAAAAGAGGGACATATGCTAAAACCTGAAAGATGAGTAGAATTGGGATAGTGGGCAGGAAGGATTGGAGATCATTCTAGTTAAAGTGTAGCATGTGCAAAGACACACAGCCAGAATTTTGAAGGGAATATTTGAGCAACTGAAGGCTAAATAGGGGGCTACAGTACAGGGTTAGAAGATCAGGAGGAAGTGAGGCTAGAGAAGTTATCAGGAAGGGGTCAAACTGCACACAGCCTTGTAGACTACGGCAAAGTTGTAGGACTTCGGAATGGATTTTGGAATCCAATCTGTTTTTATTTTAGAGAGTAGCTTAATAATATCTTTGTACAGACATTGTGGCTCATGCCTATAATCCCAGCATTTTGGGAGGCTGAAGCAGGACGGGTGCTTGAGGCCAGGAGTTCCAGACAAGCCTGGCAACATAGTGAGACCTCATCTCTACAAAAAATATTATAAAAAGTTAGCTGGTTGTGGGAACACATGTCTGTACTTCCAGCTACTTGGTAGGTTGAGGCAGGAGAACCATCTGAGCCCAGAAGTTTGACGCTGCAGTGAGCTATCATCATGTCACTGCCCTCCAGCCTGGGCAGCAGAGAAAGAGCTTGTCTAAATATATATATTTAGTTATATAATATATTAACTATATATAGACAATAATATAGTTATTTATCTTAAAAATAAATGGATATTGCATTTAGTTATCTATCTTAAAAATAAATGGATAACATTTATGGCATAGAGGAAAGAACACTGATCTACCATTCTGTAAGTATGGGCATTTAAAATTCTGTGCCCAACTCTCCAATGGGTTAACAATGTTATCTTCAATATAGCCAAGCTTTTAATTCATCCACATGTTCATGCTGTAAGTGAAGAAACAGGCTCAGAGAATTTTCCATCTAATTGAAGTCTAAAATGTTAAGCCATTACTTTTTTGAGTCAATATATGACATTAAATATATTCTAGGTTTCTACCAAATACATTCTTCCACCAGCCACATTAAGCAAAAATCTGATGCATAAAGATGAAAGGTGGGCATTCATTATCTTTAATATCTACATAGGTCTATGAGGTGGTCATTATTTTACCATACTCCATTTACCAATAAAAACTGCTGTTGTAAGAATTTTTTTTTTTTTTTTTTTTTTTGAGTCTCACTCTGTCGCCCAGGCTGGAGTGCAGTGGCAAGATCTCGGCTCACTGCCAGCTCCAAATCCCCGGTTCAAGCGATCCTTGTGCATTGGCCTCTCCAGTAGTTGGGATTACTGACAGCCACTACCAAGCCTGGCTAATTTTTGTATTTTTAGTAGAAACGGGGTTTCACCATGTTGGCCAGGCTGATCTCAAACTTCTGACCTCAAGTGATCCACCAGCCTTGGCTCCCCAAAGTGCTGGGGTTACAGGCATGAGCCACTGCAACAAGCAAGTTGTAAGACATTTAGATTGTACATCACAGCTGTGCCATAATAAAATGTAAGGCAACTTATTTTAAATATTCTACTTCTGAAAATATTAAACTACATTTTTCATTATACATTATACTTATTTAATACAGAAAACTTCCTCTTTTCATTAATATTTATGTCTTTATTCTAGTTTGCACCATCTCCTCCCCCAAAACCCTCACATATCTTGCATTACAAAATACTGTCACTGTGTTGCTTAGAAATGCTCAGAACACACATCCCTCCATCTTTTTCCCCCCCATAGCACTCATTGCTGCCCATAAACAAATTAACAAATAAATAAACACAATAATTTTGTTTCTTCCCCCATGCATCCTCTGCTTTTTAGGTGGTAGATTTCATAAAAGCTAGGATCTTGGCTCTCTGTTACCAGAGCCTAATTGATCTGGGGAGAGGAAAATACATTTTTTGTGTTTTTTTTGTTGTTTGTGGTAAAACTTGTCCTGAGAAGCAGATCGAGCCTTATTTCTTATGGCTATTTTATATTTAGCATTCTCATTAGCAGTACTGAGCAAACCCTCAGGGTGGACTTCCACTATGTGGTGCAGATTAAGTTTCAGCGCTTTTAGAGATACCTTTCTAATCCTTAGGAGGAAGCCATTATCTTTTGTCCATTGAGAAATCTTTCCTAACGACTACTTTACTCAGAGTTCGCCAATTGCTTTATTATTTTTTAATATTACTACCAAATAAGCGTCCTAGCTAATGCTTTTATTTCCCTCATCATACAGTTTTCTTCATTTTGTACCCAATGCTGACTTCCTTATTATCCCACACATTATTTGTCTCTTCCATACAGCTGAATGTTCTCTTTGGATAACAAACTGAAACTAATTGATTTTTATATTATTTTAAGGATCTGCAAAAAATGGTGCTCAACATATATTAGAGAAAACTATCAAATTTCACCCGAATAAGAGCATTATTGATTTTTTTAGTGCATTGCAAGAGGATGTGAGCCTGTACTCTTTTCCTTAATTTGAATGTAAGACTAGTGTATATGTATTTCTTTATAAGTTTTCCAAATACATTGTTTTAGTGAGTATCCAAAAGATGTGTTTTGACTGATCTAAAATACAAATTACTTGAATTCAAATAAGGATAAATGTCAAAACCACAAAAATATCTACTTAAAAGAGCATTACGAGTTTGTCTAAAATGGCATCTTTGCTTTATTTCCTATTAGGAGATAATAAATATTTTTTAATAGAACAAGTCATCTCAAACACAGAAAACACTTGGTAAATATTTATTAATAATATTGATGACTTTATCACATGAGAAAATAAAGACCAGAAACATAGACATACATCAAAATGTTTGTCTGTCTTGCTATACTGGTGTCTTCTGTGTTAGGTTTATTTTGAAGATGACATTTAAAAACTGAACACCACAAATAGGCTGTCCTTCTGTAGAACTCAGAACCCTTTTTTCTCAGAAAATAGTTTCTCCATTTTTTCTTCATTTTAATACAAATACAGCTTCCACACTATATAAACATCTGTGTTTTAATTTAAGGGCTGTAATTAACACTTTCATCGACTCTATCATTTACAAAACACAATAAGCCTGACCAATAGACACTCATCGGTTAATGCATGGAGATCAATCTTGTTTGGCAGAATTTCATTTACTGAGGAAGAAATGAGCAGTTCTGATCAAATGAAAAAGAGAATGATCATTTTTCTTGAATTCTTAAGCAAGTTTAGGACATTCAAAAATTGTATTCTGTCATTTAAATTCTTTTACAGAACATTTGAATTTCAAAATGATGTAAGTACTTTAATCTTGTTTGGAATCACTTTTGTAATTGGATCTGCTTAAACAAATAATATTCACTAATTATCAGCTTGTCAGAGATTGTCATAGCTCTAAACATTAAGAAAAACCTGAGAGTTCAGACTTTTAATGTTATCTTCAAAAAATTAATTCTCAGAAATAAAGAAAAAAACAGCTTCCCATCTCCCTACCCAGCAGGGACTATTTACCTCCCACATCACTCTTCATCATTAAACAAGAATAACTGTAGTAATATTAATCCTATCTAATCCTGTAAATATGTAGCTGAATTAACATTTTTATATGATGACCTAATTAGTGAAACTTTTAAAGTAGCTTAAATAAAAGGAATCTGGGAAAAAAGTGCCATTTTTCTGAAGATCTCTGAGAAGAAAGATATTAGAGGGAAGTTCAGGTGAACATAAAAGGATTTAATGTGAAGAGAATTGCTACAAATTGTTAGGTAAAAGCCTTATTGCTTTGAATTGTGCTTTGTTGTTTCATGTTCAATTAAAAATTCAATACAAACATATTTCAATTATTTGAATTATTTGAATGTTCTTTACACAGATTGCATGTGCTACTGTATCAGCTGGTGTAGTTAGAGTACACATGCAAGACAATTTTTAATTTTTAATTTTTTACATGTTAATGGAGAATCTGATTGCCAAATTAATGACTTTTGAACAATCCCATAAAGCCTTCTAGTAACTCTGAAAAACAAGACAACCATTCAAGTTGAGATACCTGAGAAGCCTAATTAGAACAACAAAATCCTTTTTTTAAAAGACACATTGAATTACATGAATGAAAGAAAATCCATTCATGTTTTCTTAATAAATATATTCATAGGTCCTTTCATTCTAAAACAATCACAAAATTCTGGGTTTTGGTCTGGTGTGTAGAGAATTTGGAAGTCATCATTCCCATCTACACAATAAGAGAAAAGCTGAACAAACTAAAAATCAACTCTTCTTAGATTTTTAAGAAAATTGAGATCATTTCCCACTAAAGGAAAACTTCTGCCCCCAAACATTGGAGAGACAGTCAGGCAGGTACAAAGAATTATAGCTTACCAGAGCAGAAATTCAGAAGCAGAAACCTCTGCTGGAGCCAAAACCAGGGTAGAAAAACAAACTGTAATTGATGAAATGCTGGAGGCTCAGTGTGTACGAGCTTGAGAGTTAGTTAGAAACTACAGGGGAGCCCACTCTTAGGGAATATCCCACACTGTAATGAACTTTATGTTCAAAAATGCTACAGGGTTCTCACAGTGAGGTTTGGAGAAAAATCCCCTCATGCTTCCAGCATGGAGAGGAGAGAATAGCCATTTTGAAGACTCCCAGAGCATTCTGTTCCTCTTAACAAGGCTTGTCCTCAAGTGAAACTATTTTACCAGAGCTTAGTTGACCTGCAGGAAGGGAAATACCCAACTCCAGCCCTGTGTAGATTTTCTGTCTCACCTAAGGGAATGGGGTACAGAGAAGCACATTCGAAGGTCACAGACCAGAGGCACAGAATCACCAAGACTGAGACCTAATTATAGGACTGTTAAAGGCTTACCCTCTCCCTACACCTTACTGCCATATCAACAGGGATCTTTTATAACAACAGGAGATTACAACTGAAAGAACTCCACACCTCACACTTCTTTAAGAAGAATTTTCTAATGAAACCAAAATACAACAGGCAAGATGAAAATAAAAATATAAGACGAAATTTTGACCTCTGACACCTATGGCTGTAGCATAGCAAACACAGCCTGACTCCTAGCCAGATAAACATAAAATGTTATGCTACAGGCCTATTTATCTGAGTTCCTTTTACGCAATGCATCATGTGTTTAAATATAAAATTACAAGACACACTAAAAGCCAAAAAAATAGAAGAGACAGAGTAAGCATTGAAGTCAGACTCAGGTATGACAGGGAGTCTGTAATTATCAGACTGGGAATTTAAAACAACTGTGACTAATATGCTATGAGCAGTAATAAAACAACCTTAACAATGATGACCAAAATGAAAACACGTATACAGATGCTCCTCGACTTATGATGGGGTTACATTACGATAAACCCATCAAAAGTTGAAAATATTGTAAGTGGAAAATGCATTTAATACACCTAATCTACTGAACATCATAGTTTGGCCTAGCCTACCTTAAATTTGTCCAGTACACTTACATTAGCCAACAGCTTGGGCAAAATCATTCAACCCCACACCCATTTTATATTACAGCGTTGAATAGATCATGTAACTTATTGAATGCTGTGCTAAAAGTAAAAAGCAGAAGGGTTGTAGGGATGTTCAAAATACCATTTCTACTGAACGTATGTCACTCTCGTACAATCATAAAATCGAATAATTGTAAATTAGTGACCGCCTATACTGTGCTCTGTGCTCTTAGGAATACTGCAACGTCCAGTGTTGTCTTCGTCCTTCAGGAGTTTACAGTGTTTCAGAGTTGACAGAGAAATGAGCAAACGTTCCAACAGAATGTGATAACTGATGCAATGTTTAGTCTCTTCCCATCTATTCTAGTGCTAGAATGCCATGACTTACCCCCTGTACATTGTCAACTCTCCATTATGGACACTGTTTTCATGTTCACCTACACTCTATGTACACACTTCATTTTTAGTACTAATGCAAATCAATTTACCTTTTTTCTAATTCTTATAACTGCTTTATTCTTAAGACTCTCTCAAGTTTGATATCTTCCTGTGAATGAAGTACCCATGAAGTTTCACATTTCCCCATGGTTGTGATTTTTATTCTTTTAATATCCCATTTGCACTAAAGATTAGTGGGGGAGGGAAAAATAAACCTAAAAAGTGATTTTCTAATGTTTTTATGCATTTTCCATACCTGTATCCATTTCAATATTTTATTTCAATATTTACAAATTTAACGTGCTACAAATATTTTATCAAATATTTTGAATATTTGATTTTCTGATAATTCAGCAGATTATTTTATTTTCTGTTCCAATTAATAATTTGCGTGTTATTTTCAAAAGTATATTTCTTAGGAATATCTAATTTAGAGTAAATACATACTGCTATAGCATTGGCATGAATAACATTTCAATGTTAAAATTCTTTTTCAATAAACTGAATTTCCCCTATCTTTAGCTACTCATTTTAAAGAATAACTAATGCATTAGCAAAAGTTGAATCTCCCTTATCTCATTGTAGCATTTCACACAAACATTATCTCTTGCTATGACAAGTTTTTAAATTTTGTTTCAGCTTTCAAGTACTTAGAGAATGGTTGCAAAACTATCCATTTGAAATTAATTTAGTAAATGCCTTACTAAAATGTAAATGCATTATGTCTATAACATTTTCTTCTATTTAGTAGACATGTGGTCTTATAAAACTATATTTTCCAAGATGTTTCTATTTCTAACATATACTAATGTATTTATCCTTCAGATTTGATTTTTTTATTAAAGAAAGAGCTCAAATATTAATAGATTCATATTTCACATGTGAAAGAACATATACCAGGAGATTAACTATTTCAGGAAATTTTATAGATATTTGGTAGTAAATTATTTGTTTTTATGAAAACATATCATATGTAAAATAAGCATTGATTTTCTAAGTTATTTAGATTCCTACGTATCTAAGGCTGCACTGGCAGAAGACATAGTTAAATAAAAGACACATCTCAGTATTTTGCTCTTTATACTGACTCTTCGAGGAAGACATTATTGGTATAATCTGAGGTGTCAGAAAAATAACTTCTTGGTACCAACTAACTTCCAATTTAAGTATCAGAGCATCTGATATTTTTCTCCAAAGATCTATCGCTTTTGTAGCAGTAAGAGAAAATCTTTTTCCTAGGGCAAATCCAAAATTAGAGAATTCTCAGAGAAAGGAAGATATCTGTTTGAGCTCATTCATATCCCTCCAAAACAGATGAGCCCTGGGAATATCCTTTAAGAGGGAACAGCATTGGACTTAAGCCCAGGTCCTTCTACAATTGATTTTTCAAAATCTTGTGTTCCGTGACAGTTATTGATTATTTTTTTCTATGTAATTCCTTAACCTCGTCTAGAGACTCTTGGTTCTGGTTTTTCCTTTCTGATCTTTCACTTCTGAGAAGGAGTTTCTAGCTCCATTTACACTTCCCTTCACACTTGTTCATCTTTTATACACACTGGCCAGATGCTTGAAGTATGATTCTTTATTCTGGCACTGACTCTAGTCACCTGACTATACCCCATCTCTAATTATTTAGCCTTAATTTCAGTGAAGGCTGGTCTAATAATGATATTTATAAATATACATTTAAAATTTCTGATAACACATTCTTACCAATTGCTGTTTTTTCACTATATTCATGGGCTGCGGTCAGTTTTAATAAAAGACTGTGGTCAAATGCTATTTTTTAATAGAGACATTTTTACCAAGGAAAGTCATTTCTAGTGCTAATGGAGTTCAGGCCAGTTCAAACTTGCTGAGGAAGCAGATCCGTCCTCCTCGGACATACAATATGCTGAGCCCAACCCTGGAAGTAGTACTATGTCCTTGGGCAAAATAAAAGTTCCGCCAAGACCCTGACGGTATTAAGTAATTCCTCCACTGGCATCCTCCTTCCAAATGCATTAAGACATTAAAGGCCAATACATTAAGTCACTTGCACCTTGGTGTGGATCAGTTTATCAGAATGTTTTTCTTCTGAAAGAAAGGACTGAGGGTGCAAGTGATGCACGGACAACAAGGGAAAGAGGAATGCCGAGAAAAGTGTAGCGTGCACAGAGAAGGAGAGATGCGCTGAAGATTAACTACTCCGACCTTATTTTTCACCATATAATTTTCTACTATTTACTGTGTATCAAAGAGAATAAAAAATTATTACAACCACAACCACCAGTAATCTTTACCATAAATCCAGGTGTGCATAAACATGTCGAGCCAGGTTCATTCTCCATGCAGAGTTCATGAACACATGAGTTGGGAATGCACTCAAGCTCATTCTCACAGTGGTGTCCAGACCATCCTGTTCAACAAAATTACAAAGCAGATATGCAATTTTTAATGATAATAAAAACAGTTATGCTAATAGCCTATATTTATTGGCTTTTACTATTTGAAATAATTATGCTAGATGTTTTGTACAAATTACCTCAGTGTATCTTCATGATCAGTTTATCAGGTAGCTCTTATTCTATCTCTATTTAGTTCAAGAGAAAATTAAACTCAGAGAAAATAAATAATTTGCTCTAAAATCACCTAGTTAAGTATAAATGAAAGTGAGTACATGTATGATATGTCTCAGCTCTTATCCGTGGTGCCATTTAACATTACATATTCAAATGTCTTTACTTATTTTACTTTGGAATAAATACATGGAAAGCAATAGAATAAAGACACTTAATAATTCCCTTAATATGAATCTTAAATTCAGAGGAAAGCACCTACTATAGATCTCTAGATATACAATGTTATTTGTGATACTTGTAGTATTACAGTTAGTATTTTACATTTAGTATTTGTTATACTGTGATTCTATAGAATATAAGTATTGTGTCTACGTACATTTGGCCATTGGCTGTAAGAATTCTCATTAAACATGACAATCTAAAATTTTCCAGACCAAAACACAGTTTGATTGTATGTATTTTGTTTGGCTTTTGCTAGTCAAACATTTTATTATTTCCATCATCAACCTATCAACCAACATTGCTAAGTATTCCATAAGCTAATATCTCAGCTATGCTTTACTGGGTAGATATTAGGAACATTTTTTTGAAACCATTGATTCTTTCCCATCAGATAATTACTTCTAATGAATCTTAATATGCCTAACATGCTAGCCACAACATCATGTTAACCTAAGTATACCCTTCCACATAGGGACAATGGGTCTTTACAGGCAGCTCTCACTGCTCACTGACTATGCTTACTCTAATCACAACTTTTTAACTTTTCTTTATTTTTCTATGTATTGTCCAATAGCATTTAATCTGAACCCTGGCTGTTGGGAAATGTAAAATTTAATTATTGTTTATACTTAGGAAGATATTCTGATTGTTCTTCCCTGATAAATTGTAACAAAACAATTAAATACATATTTTGAGGTACTTAGAAATGATTTATTGAAACACTTCATTATAAGAAACAAATAGGGCCTGAGTCTAAAAGACATGGCAATGTCCACATCAAACTTAGAAATAGCGGCCAAGAGACTAAATTTATCAAATCTTCATCCAAGACTCTTTCCACTTTGCAATGCTCTTTCATGTGCTGGGCTGATTCTGCAGAGATCTCTACTGAAGAGGCTGTAAAAGGTGATATGGAAAAAAACATCTTCACAGGGTTTATAAAAAGCCAATATGACTTTGTTGAGTCTCACAAACATAGTTGAGTCTCACAAACATATTATTGAGCATAAAAACATATTGCATAAAAATACACCCTGATAAATGCTCTTATAAAATTCGAATGCATATGAAACTTAGTAACATTGCTTAGAGATGCATACATATATAATAAAACTCTAACAAATACTAAAGGAATGCTGATATAAAATTCAGAATAGTTACTTCAGGGAGTGGGATGTCCCTGGAGGGATATAGAGGTGGCGAGAATTATTGCTAATATTCTATTTCTCAGAACACATGGTAGTTATACACATTTATTACAGTGTATTTTGTATTTTTTATATATTGTATCCTCTTCTGATCGAATATTTCAAAATATAATTTAAGCAATTAAAATGACATAGTTTTCCTTTGCTTCTCATACTGTGAAGAACATGATAAAGCTTTAAACCATAAGATGGGAAGTGTAAAAGAAAAATTGCACTGGGCCAGTTATACAGACAAAGAAGACTTCATTCAAGAGTACTGCATAGGAGACAGATTTTTACAATAGAGTAGAGAGCTTGTACTCAACCCCACTAAAATAAATGGGAGCAGGAACATTTTTAAAGGCCAGGTGAGCTAACAGAAAAGTACCAGGGGGATGTTTGGGTGGGTGGGAATTTGGTCAATTTCAATAGGCCACCTGTACTTGCTGTCTCTTACTGAAGTTAGGCTTCTACTCTCCCAAAGAGACTGGGAAATAGGGGCACTATTTGTCTCGTTCCAGGGTTACATTTGTTTTGTTTTGTCTTTCATTGTTGTTGTTTTTGCTGTTTTGTTTTGTTTTGTTTTTGAGACAGGGTCTTGCACTGGTGCCCAGGCTGGAGTGCAGGGGTATGATCACACATCACTGCAGCCTCAACCTCCTGGGTTCAAGCAATCCTCTCACCTCAGCCCCCGGAGTACAGGATTACATTTTTGAAGGAATGACTCCCAGGTCCTTGGGAAACAGCCTGAGAGAAGATTTACATCTCAAAGAGACAGAGAAATAATTTACAACTACAAGTTTTCTAAAGTAAATGCTCTACGAAAAGGGAGATCAGGCCCTATAGTCAGGAAGAAGTCTGTCTAAAGCCTAGTCAAACTGAGAAAAACATTAAGGCTGTGTTGGTCAAAGACAACAAACAAGGATAGAAAATAAATTAGTCAAGATTCATTACAAGAAACAGAAATCACTCTAGTTATTTAAGCAAAACGGACCTGAATAATGGAATTAGATGCTTACAAAATTATCAGAAGGAAGGAAAGCTGTAGGAGTAACACCAAGAACCACAGGTATGACTTTCTGGAAGATGTCCCCTCAGTCAGGATCAGGAAGATGAGAAATATAAAAGCACTCTTAGGATTTTTGAGTTCAAGAGCCCATTGTGCTAATCCAAGGAAGGTTGACCACCAGGCAGCTGCCGTTTCAATGCACCTACGCACTGAAATAGTGACTCTACAGTGAGATCTGCTGCAAAGATCCACATAGCTCCATGACTTTTTTTTACCAGAAGAATCTGCTAAGACACCCAGAAATGGTCTCCATCAGAGCCTTCAGATTTTAGGTATGTTTCTTACTGGTGGAACTCAATTATATTTGCAACTCCAGTTTTGAAGGATTCTGGAAGTTGTAGTTTTCAATACTCTTGCCTCTGCAGTACAGGAAACCACACTACATGGGAGTGGATACTGAGTGTCAATCATACCCATTAGTATGAAGAAACACGTAAGATGAATAGGTGCTTATTCTGGTGTGGGACAAGGTAATGGGTAAGAAATGAGACCAGAATAAGAAAACATAAATCAGGCAAATAAATATTTATTGGATTTTTTAATGTTCAGAAATGAAATATATTTTCTTTTGAATCTTATGTAGGTTTTATGTTCATTCTTAATAAGGTAACCAAATATTCAGAAAATAGTTTGGTAACTGAAAACAAAAACCAAAAATTGTCATTAGCAATCTAGGAAAAGTAATCAAATTATTATGGTGTTAAACTAATAGTATTAACCTAATGTCTGACACATAATATAAAGTAAGTAAGTGCATAAGGAATAAATGATTTAAAATAATTGTGGTGCAAAATAAAGACAACTTTAGGTGACACATTGCAATAAAATTGGAGTAAATTTTTACTAATTTTTTTTTAAAGACAATCTTGCTCTGTCACCCAGGCTGGAGTGTAGTGGCATGATCACAGTTCACTGCAACCTTAAACTCCTGGGCTCAAGGGAGCCAACCCACCCAGCCTAAAACTAGAGTGATCTTAAGTTGAAGACTAAACCAAATCTTTAAATACATTGATATATTCAGCTAGAAATATTGACCAGTTTTAATATTACCATTCTATAACATAAGTTATAATACTTTGAGTTTATGAATGAAAATAAATGTCACTACTTCTAAGATTTATATATTTTATTTTCATTTCATTTTCCCTCTCTGCCCATAGTGATTTCTATCTGATGTTATGAATATAAAATAAAAATAAACCTAAACCTAAAATAATTTTGTCTAACTAGTTAATACATTATTTAGTAATTGGATAACATAAAATTATTTTCTCTTCTTAGTCTAACTCTAGAATATGTAAAAAAATTTTACATGTACACCCTCATGAAAATACAATAGTATACACTCTTTTATCTCATAATAAGGATTTCTTTACTTTTCATGGATCTTGATTTAAAAAAAGATTATTCTGTATCTCTTTTGTTCTAAATGCAGCCACCTCATCATCGACAATAATTGTGGCTACTGGTGGCAGATATTATCTATGTTTGTTTCTCTGTTTTCTTGCCCCAAGGATAGTGCAGCATTTCTGCTACAAAATGAACAATACTACTTTAAGGGCAAAACATGCATTTGAAGTTTGCATCACCAGCAATATAACACCATTGCACCCCTGCTGGGTATAAAAAGTATCTGGGCACAGTGACTGTCCCAGGGATTGAGAACAACTCTGAGTGAATTTGTGGTACACAAACTGTTCCCTATCACTTTCAATTTGCTCTTCATGGGATAGCTCTGATCACTTACTGGGTGTTCTACATTGTTAGATAACACTATACATGGTACTATTTCGGCTAAAAACACACTAAGTGTGTTTCTATTTCTATAAAAAACATCTGAATACCTATATTGATACTTCATTGGAAATGAGCTCAAAAACCCATTTAATTCCCTATATAGGTACAGGATGAACTCTGTGATTAGGACTGTCCTAAATGATGTTCAGGATGTTTCTTGCACAAAGAATTCATGCAAAGAGGATGAGTGAGGTCTGAAATCTAACCTGAGCTCCACTTGTCAAGTCTTATACCTTGTTGGCTTGGAGGAAGTGGCATATTTATATAATTTTTCTGCCTAGAGATGGTGGAGGGCTTTATGCTTACCATGGCCCTGTCATGACTGGACAACATTGGCCATCATAAATGAATTGTACTTTTTCAATATGTGCTGAACACTCCCCAAGGACTGATTATGATACAAACTCTCTACTAGGATTTGGTGATACAAAAATAAACAACATTTACAATGTCTTCTAACCCACTTATATCCAGGTTAAATTTCAGTGTGTTTTGCAGACTGTCTGGTGGGGAAAACAGTATTTAGTTTTTCAAACTGTGCTCTGTTCAGAATGTTGCAGGATTCACACAGCTCTGTTTGTACTAAAATGAAGAGGGAAGGGAGAAAAGAGATAAAACCTTTTGGCATAGAGGTGGAGTTACCCAGGATGACAACCATGGAGTTGTTGTTAGATAAAGACAAGAGTATTTTGATAATTAGCAACATAATATGAATGTAAGAAAGATTTCCACAACTGAAGAAAATGGCAATGATTTATAGTGTTTAGCCAATTTAAAGACAGAGGAATACTTGTGTAGTTTTCTACCTGGAGCTGTGTAAGATAAGATAATGGCATGACTGAGATCAAAGCCTAGGAAAAAATTTTCAAAATTATTTGAGGCTTTTTAAAAATCAATGACAGAGAAGTGGACATGTGTAAATGAAATGAATCAGTCTTTGTGTTTTTCTATGGCATTTAGGAGAAAGCAAATTGCTGTGAATTACTCAGAAGAGTGAAAAGTTTTATATTTTTCTAATGGAATCTTTTAAAGAGAAAAACAGATTGGGTAGGAGACTTCCTGAGAATTCTCACAGTGTTTAGAATTGCTAACATCTAGACTAAGCTGAACCACACTGATTGATTTTATTGGGGAAGGCCTTTGTTTTTTAATGATTGGTCAATTCAATTTTTTACTGTAGTAAGCACATTTAACATGAGCTCTCACCATTTAACACGTTTAACTGTGTAATACATTACTATTAACTATAGGCATGATATTGTACAGATCTCTAGAATGTATTCATCTTGCATGACTGAAACTTTATGAGGAGTTTCTCTTCACCAAGATAACATTTTGGGGGAATATGAGAAATGATGAATGCACAAGTGTCAGTGCAGACTTCTTAGGTGTGAATCTTAGCTTTGCCACTAACATGTTGTGGGACATTACCCAGTGGTTCTGGGACTCTGTTTCCTTATTAGAAAAATTAGGTAAAATGAGATGCCCTTTTCTCGATGCTATGAAAACTTAATTAGTTAATACATCTAAAATAACATGGTGTCTATGCAGTAATACTGATATTATTATTATTTTCTAAGCACATACATGCCAAAGAACTCACACATTTGATCTTCGAAATATAAAATTCATATACACGAGACAGAGGTGCTGAAAAAAGGTAGAATTTTCAATAAAAATTATAGAGAAAAATTAGTATTCTATCAAAATCAGTTCCTTTTGGGGGTAAAGAGTTAATTACAAAGGGACAGCATGAGAAAATTTTGGAGGATGGTGGTTAATTGCCTTACTGTGAGGGTGGTTACACAACTTTATGCATTTACCAAAGCTATAAAATTGTACACAAGAGAGTTAATTTTACTGTGGGAATAAAAATACCCTGAAACCGTGGCAAACTATGCCCATTAAGAAAATGAGAAAGGGATGAAGAGTAATCTGCAGGAGCAAGATTATTCCTTAAATAACTTTAAAGGGAGGATGGATTGGCATGATTAAGAGCTATGGCTGGAGCAGAGACAGGAGTGTTGGGGACGTGTCAATAGCATTTTCCAAAAATTTGACTTTTTCATTTGTCACTTAGTTTTCACTCCCATGACTAAGTTGTGAAGAGTGTAAGTAACTCTAAAGTCAAAGGTATCAGCAGATTTTGAATAACGCCTAGCAATACAGGTGGTATCATTTTGAGATCTTCTGCTTCCCAATAGTGATCTGAAAAGCAGCCTGAACAATTCAACAGCTTAAAAATGTCCTCATGCTTACAAGTGAATCCAGAGTAGTGGAATCAACCTACAGCAACAAAACTAATCTAGCACCTGTAAGATGTTTATTAACATGAAACAGAAAATGAATCTAGTAGTTACAAGATACCTATTGTTATGATAAACAAAATTTATATGGGTATTTTACTTAACTGTTTCTGTAGAATTTATTGTTTATGCTAGCTACCATAGAGTATGAAGTGTTTGTGGGCACAATAAAGATATTTTTTGCTTGAAAGAGGCAAAATGTTTGAAATGGTATTCATTTCTTATATAAGAAAACTGTAATTTTATTCTACTTATGTTACCTGCAAGAGTTCCCATTTTATGTACGGCTGGCTATTTCAAAAGGGAAGTACAAAGTTCTCCAGATGTTCTACGTGACCAAATAAAACCTAGTACTAGTAATGAATGTTCAAAAAACAGAGTAGGTCTCTGAGTGATGTTTAACTTCTAAATAGTATGTGGGTGACACTCAGTTGATAGGTATTCACTAGTTTGTATGACTTCACATAAATCATATTAGTCCTAATACTCTCATGGCTATTATTTCCGTGGTGGGCCCAATAACCAGAAGCCCAGAACCCTAGGGTTTCCATAGGCTTTCTGAAGTCTTCTGTGAGGTAGGTAAATAGGGACTATTTTTTTTCTAAGAGATCAAGTCCTGCTATGTTTCCCAAGCTGGAGTTCAGTGGCTATCCACAGATACAATCAAAGCATGTATCAGCCTCCATCTCCTGGGCTCAAGTAATCCTCTCGCCTCAATATAGTTGGAACTATAGGCATGCTACTATCATGACTGGCTCAATAACTTTTTTTAAGTGACCAGAAATATCCCCTACATATATTCCTGAGAAATTACTGCTGCTCAAGGAAATTTAGGCATTGAACATCCGTTTTGGGTTAACTGAATGTTGAAAATAAGATGAGTGGCAGAAGATGTAGGAAAAGAGCAAAAATCTGAAGTTAGAGAACTAAAGAAAAAAGAAGGAAAAAAATGCATGATCAACAATCACTTATATCAATATAGACCTAAAAGGAATATGATCAAAGGTAGAGATGGCCAAAAAGACCAATTTTTAATGAGCAGTTTTCTTAATCCATTCAAGACTGCTATAACAAAAATACCATAAACTGGATAGCTTACAGAAAACAGAAATTTATTTCTCACAGTTCTGGAAGCTGCAGGGTACAAGAACAAGTTGATGACAGATCCTGTGTCTGTGGAGAGCCTGCTTCTTGGTTCTTAGATGTTGCCTTCTGGCTGTGTCCTCACATTGTGGAAGGGCCAGCTAGCTCTCTAGGGTCTACTTTATAAAAGTGCTAATCCCATTCGCAAGGGCTTTACTCTCATGACCTAATCATCTTCCAAAGTCCCACCTCTTAATACTATACTATCGTATTGTTGATTAGGGTTCAACACATGAATTTCAGGGAGACACAAATATTTAGACAATAGCAGCAATTATTCCTTGAAGAAAACAAGTTTATTCAGCTCGTCCATCTCTGTGCTGACAATTGTGGGAAGAAATAATAATGTCAATACTAATAAGAGCTAACATTGATAAAGTACTTGCTGTGTGCCAGGCATAATTGATACAAAGATCAGAAGTATGAGGCTTACATATGTTTAGAAAATCCATCAATAAGGTATTACACTCTAAACATTAAGATTTCCTGATGAAAGCCTAAGTGCTTGCTTTCTAGTATCATACAACATTCATTTCATGTTTTTAAAGAATGATCATTGCTTAAAACTTGATTAGTAGTCAACAATAGTATTGGTGGAGTGGATTGTCAAAATTGTATTATACATACATGTCCATATACATTTACATAAACGTATATATTATTATATATGCAGTATGCTTATTATTTTTAAAATAATTACCTGGTTGGCATTTGCAAACATATCCATTGATGTGATCTTCACAGTCTGCACCATGTAGACATGGTGATGAAGAGCATTCATTTATATTAATTTCACAAAATTGACCAGAAAATCCAGGAAGACATCTAAGGAAAAAAAATGAAAACGATATTTGTATATATTATACACATGAGCACTATCACTTTTCATCTTGGGATTCCATCATTCAAACGTGTTTTCAGAGCTCCAACAACATGTAGCTGGGAGCCTTCCTTGGGGTGACAATGAGTTGAATTGTGGCCCCAAAACAGTATGTCTAATACTTAACACTAAATATCTGTGAATGTGAATTTATTTGGAAATAGAGTCTCTGCAGATTTAATTAAGTATCTTGAGATGAGGTCATTCTGGATTAACTCGGTGGGCTCTAAATCCAGTGACAAGTGTTCTTACAAGCACAGAAGACAGAGACCCACAGGGGAGAAGGCCACGTGAACATGCACATAAAGATTAACATTATGCAGCCCTAAGTCAAGGAACACCCAGAGCCTCTAGAAGCTGGAAGAGGAAAGATAAGATTTTTTCCTAGAGTTTTCAGAGGGAACATGGCCTTGCTGACACTTTAGTTGGACTTCTGGTCTCCACAACTATGAACAAATAAATTTCTGTTATCTTAAGCTAACGAGTTTGTGGTAATTTATTATGTCATTCCTAGGAAACTAATACAGAGATTATGTTATTGCATGTATCTGCTTAAATCCAAGTGAACTGTTTGAAAAGAAATAAAACAGAGGTCTCTGGGAGACTCTTAAAATGGAGAAATTGGGGGCATGTCATGAAAGGTATGCTCCATAATTGGAAGAATAGATATGGAAAGAGTCAATAGGTCAGAGACTATTGTACTTCCTCTTAATTTTTAGGGACGCTTTAATAAAAACCATTTAGATGTCAGCTGTTAAACCATGCTTCAAGAACTGATGGAGGATCCACAATATTGATTAAAGTGCAATGTCCATAGCTATAGATACAGATTTGTCGAGTGCCTACAACATGCAGGTATTTTATGAATGCTAAGAATACAAACGTAAGTAAAACTCTGTGTCTGCCTTCAAGAAGCACTGAGCCCAGTTGGGAAAATAGACAAGTAGCCGACACAATTATATGATAAATGCTATAATCAGCATATAGATAAATGTATTTTTATCATGGCAGAGTATACGCAAGGGCAAGAATAAGAAAAGAGTGTGAGTTAATCCAGAAATTGCAAGTAGTTTTGAAGGCTGAAATATAATGTGGGAGAGCACAGTCTGGGGTGATGCTGATGAAAAAGGATAAATTAAATAAATAGAAATTAGATCATTATACAGTATTGGATCATAAGTTTTACCACATATTTACTGAAAACTTATTCACAATATATAACTTTACCAAAGTCACAAGACAAGCAAATTTGCAAAAGTAGAATTTATTGGTCTGTACTTATCAGCTAGCCAAATTTAGCCACTGTGCTTTACTTGCATACACAGTTACTTAGGTGATACAAAAATTAAGTTCTGTTTTTCACTGCAACTGGGTCTGCCCGGCTGAAGCTAGGTAACGATGAATTTTAGACCGTCCAGAATGTTAGTAACTCCACTGTGCTAGATCCTTACCTAGCTGAAGACTTTCTTGACCAACAAACAATAAGACTTGCTTTAGGGCCGGGGGCGGTGGCTCACGCCTGTAATCCCAGCATTTTGGGAGACCGAGGCGGGTGGATCATGAGGTCAGGAGATCGAGACCATCCTGGCGAACACGGTGAAACCCAATCTCTACTAAAAAATACAAAAAATTAGCCGGGCGTGGTGGCGGGCTTCTGTAGTCCCAGCTACTCAGGAGGCTGAGGCAGGAGAATGGCGTGAACCAGGGAGGCGGAGCTTGCAGTGAGCCCAGATCACGCCACTGCACTCCAGCCCGGGCGACAGTGCGAGACTCCGTCTCAAAAACAAAAACAAACAAACAAACAAACAAACAAAGACTTGTTTTAACTGTGTGTGGATTTATGGATGGTCTGATTTTGTACTGTGAAGATGACATCTTCAGTATTGAATTCCCACTGCCACAGTCAACCTCCCCATCTTTGTAGCAAAAAGAAACCCATAGCAGTGTTTTTTTTTTTTTTGAGAGGAATTCATCACTAGTGGTTTACTCTTATATGCAAAATAAACTTCTATGCAAAATAAACTCAGGTCTGATTTTGTCAATAATCGAAGTGTTCATTGTCTTTCCTTGAATATCATAAATTGTTCTTCAAAAATGCATTATCAATATATTTATTTTATTTATTTTTGAGACAGGTTCTTTCTCTGCTACCCAGGCTGGAGTGCAATGCAGTGGCCCGATTATAGCTCACTGTAATATAAAACTCAAAGTAATCCTCACACCTCAGCCTCCCACATAGGACTACAGGTGGTGTGCACCATCACACCTGCCTAATTTTTGTGTGTTCATTATATAAAATGGACATTTTCTCTGTGTCCATTACACAAAATGGGTCATGCTATGTTGCCCAGTCACATTATCAATTTATATTCTTGGCAGAGTTATCTAAAATGTCCATTTGTCTGCGTTCTTACCTATGAACAATATTAACATTTATTTTAATTTTCATTGCAAAGGAAAAAAACTACTTACCTAATAAAGATTTTTTAAAGGGGATAGTTTAAAAAATTTTTAATATAATTTGTATTTTGCGATAATTTTAAGGATAACAAAAAAGTTGCAAGGGTAGCACAGAATGTTCTCATAGACTATGTATCCAGTTTCCTTTATTGTTAACATCGTACATTCACATGGTATGTTTGTCACAACTAGTGACACAATATTACTACATTATTATTAACTGAAGTCTATGTATTATTGCAGTTTCTTTAGCTTTTATCTAATGTCTTTTGTTTCTGTTCAAGAATCCTATTCAGAATACCACATTCCATTTAGTTGCATATCTCCTTAGGCTCCTTTAGACTGTAATATTTTCTCATACTTCCTTGTTTTTGATGACTTCGACTGTTTTGAAGGGCATTGGTCAAGTATTTTGTAAACTATACCTCAATTTAGGTTTAATATTATTCCCATGGTTACACTGGTGTTATATGTTTCTGAGAGAAAGACATCATAGAAAAGGCTCTCATCACATTATATTAACATTACTCTTTAGAGGGAAGTTGCTTTGCACATCCCACGCTTAAGAGATGAGAAGTCATGCACACCTCTTTAAAGGAGAAGTGCCTATATAAATAATTTGAAATAATTTCTTTATATATATTTTTAAAATCTTTTCTGGAATTTTGAGTGAAATGGCTTTGAATCTATAAAAGTCAAGTTGTAAGAAACAATATCTTAACAATACTGAGTTTTTCAATTTATGTTAAGAAATATGTCTCCAGTGACACATATCTTTGATTTCTTTCACCGATATTTTATAGTTTTCTACACAGAGATATTATAAATATTTTATTAGATTTATACCTAAATGCTTCATTTTTGTTTACTGTTCTAAGTGGTATATTTGTTTTGTTTTGTGTTTCTTCTTTCCGATATTCCAGTGTTCATTACTAGAAAGCAATTGACTTCAGTATGATGATCTTATATCCTGCAAACCTTGTTACACTAGCTTATTAGGTCCAAGAGCTTTTTTCAAAAATAGTAGAGGGTTTTCTATAGAGAAAATTATCTTCTACAAAGATAATGATTGCATCTGTAGATAAAGACCGTTCTGTTTCTTCCTGTTCAATCTACATACCTTTTATTTCTTTTCCCTGTCTTATTGCACTCAGTAGGACTTCTAGTAGGATATTAAATAGCAGTGTTGTGAGAGGAAATGTTTGCCTGTATCAAATCTGAAGGAGAAAGGGTTTAGTTTTCATCATTAAGAATGATGTTAGCTATAAGTTTTTAAAATGTAGCCTTTATTAGGTTAAGGAGTTTACCTTTTATTCTGAGATTTTTTTTGTTTTTTGTTTTTATTTTTGTTTTTGAGATGGAGTCTCTCTCTGTTGCCAGGCTGGAGTGCAGTGGCACGATCTCGGCTCACTGCAAACTCCGCCACCCAGGTTCAAGTGATTCCCCTCCCTCAGCTTCCCGAGTAGCTGGGACTAGAGGCACACACCACCACGCCCAGCTATTTTATTTTGTATTTTTAATAGAGACGGGATTTCACCATGTTGGCCAGGATGGTCTCGATCTCCTGACCTCGTGATCCACCTGCCTCGGACTCCCAAAGTGCTGGGATTACAGGCATAAGCCACCACACCTGGCCTATTCTTAGTGTTTTTGACAGTTTTTATGAGTGGAAATTAAGTTTTGTCAAGTGATTTTTGTGCATCCATTAAGATCATTATATGGTTTTACTTATTCATCTGTTGATATATAATCATATTGATTAAATGATACATGATATGATAATGATTGATACAGTCATGTGTATTTTTCTTGATCAAGTGTTAAAATAGTGAACTATACTGAATGTTTTATGAATGCTAAGGTTTGCTTTCCTGGAATGAACTCCACTTGCTAATTTCAGAGTGTGTTAATGCAGTCATCTTCTTGTTATTTGCAAAGGGCCCATGATTTCAATTTTAAACTTTTAATGTTAAACTTTTACTCTTTGTTCCTTCAAGGTTATGTGATGTTTACATTCTTAGCTTGAATGGAGGAAAGATTTTGAAAACACTTATAAAATAGAAGTGCATAACAATTTATAACCCCATGTTTCACAAAAATATTTACACAATGATCTGTAAAAATTTATAACATGGGGAAATTGTGCTACTTATATTGGTATTATAAGCAGTTTTATCCCATACGTATTTATTCACTTTATAAGCATTTTAATAGAATGTCTGACGGATTGAAATTACTTACCCAACTTGTTTATACAAAAGGATTTACTAAAAACTGTTAAACACTACTACATAATGACACTGTCACACCAGGCTTTTAACATAAGAATTGCTCTGCAATACTAGGAGAAGGGGCATAAAAGACAAGTTGATTTTGCAGCATAGCAACTAAAAATATAACAATGAAAGCAACTGTTAAAAATGAGAACTCAGAACTTAACATTAGAGGGACCCAACATCATGCCTCCATTTAGCTAATTGATACAAAAGAGTTAGTTTAACTGCTATTAACAGGTGACAGGAGCCACTCTCAAATGATTCTTCAAATTGGAAAGTACTGTCTTACAACCTGTTGTTGCAGATAAGAAGTAAATGAAATCATTTTGTATGGTTTGCAGCTGTTTGGATAACCACCTGGCCTAGATACTTTCCCATAATCATTCTGCTAGTTACCACTTATTACCCAAGACCTTCCTGAAAATCCTCCTTTAGGCCCTCACTATTGTTGCTGATACTGTTCCTTTGATACAGCTGCTTTTATTTCACATTTATTAAGCCCATCATAGTAGTATTTATTTTCCATTATTTTCTTCACTTGTTTCTGTTCGTTAACGATAATGCAGAGCCCATGTCTCCTTGTTGGTCTTTTCCATGGGAGTTTTATAGATTTTACCACTCCAAAAACAGCACTTGGTTCATTTATTAAGATAAATTATGAGGCACATAACAAAGCAATTCTCCAGAATTGCTTTATTTGTTTATTAACAAATGTGTCTGGTATCATACAACCGAAGTAAGAAAGAATAAGAAGGGTACAAAAACTGAATTTTCATCCCCCACAATCTATTCTATTCAGAAACCTTTTTTTATTTTTTGAGATGGATAATATTTTAATTTAAATGAGACTTAATTCAAGTTACATACATTCACTAAATTCTTATTTGCCTTTGAAATATTTACATTAAAAAACAATTAAATTTATATTCTATTTATATTACATTTATAATTTCTAATATCCCATTTGCTGGGCTTTGATAATATAATTGATAGGATGTAGTTTAATAATTGTCAAGGAAGGAACGATGTTATGACTTTTTATATCTGCAAAGCATCAACTTTAAAATATTAACTCTAAATGCTCAGAAGCTGAGTGTTTATTTATAAACTTCACTGAAGCCAAGATTTCTCAAGTTAGAATAGTTGAAAAGTATCAGATATGTAAATGACTTCATACAATTTCAGAATCACCACAGTTCTTTTCCGTGATTTATCTTCTTTTTTAATAATTAGTGACCACAACTACATATAACTTATTTTCTTAAGATATGCAAAAAATTAAAGTATATATCTCTGTGAATAGTACTCTATTAGTAACTGATCATACTTAATCATGAATAGGAAGCCTCCAGTTAGAAATCTACACACCTCGGATATTACTTCTGCTTAATTTTATTTACCTGTGCTGTAGCCAAAAATTTTGACGGTTTGGAATTTTTGCCTTGTTTTTACATAAGAAACTATAGTTCTGAGGAATAACCATAAACCAAACCAAACCAAACCATTTTACACTTCACTTACCCCTGTGTCCTGACCTCTTCTCTGTCCTGGATGATATACCAGAATATCTAACTGGATTCATCCTTCAGATGAATGGCCATGGGCTTACAAATTTGACATATTTTCTTTTTTAAAATGTTATTTTTATAGATGATATTGTAAACTTCTATGTTTCTGGGAAACACAATAGGAGCATCAGGTTGATAAGTAGGGGATATTCAGTGAATAGGCAAAGCCAATGATCTGAGCAGAATGGTCTTGATTATGAGTTCAATATTATACTGCTTCTCATTTCAGTATTTTTATTACTATTCAATTGATCACATTATATGCTCTAAATTTTTAAAAATACAGGTATTTTAAACTCATTTCATTGCTTTGTTGCAGAGACTGTGATAGATTGGAATCTAATTATTAAATGTATTTTCAAATGTGTAATTTAATTTTATTATAGTCAAACTGCATAAAGCATAATCCAAACTGAATTATAAAATAAGTAATTTTAGTGTTGTTTATATTATGTATCTTGAAGGTCATTTTAATTTAACATTTTTACTTTTATCCTGAGTAATTCTATTGTCACTATCAATTATGCATACAGATTAAGAGGAGTTATTCTTAGCAATTATTGTAACATAAACCAAAGTTTCCTGAAACCACTTTAAAAACTAGAATATTGTCTAAATAACTGTTGAAATTGTATGTAGACATATACAAAGATTTAGGTAAAAAGGACATTAACTACACCTGTCTCCGTAGTTATGAATGAATGAAACTCAAAGTAGTTCCTTTTTATAGATGATATTATTTCGTATCACTTTTTAGTAAAACATTGCTTTATATATTGATATTGACAGTATTTAAACTTCATTAATTTGAAATGATCCATATGCAGAAATTAAGACAGAGCTGGGTGCAGGTTGTTTATTTAGAAGGTGATCCAAGTAAGCAGAAATGAAGGAGTGGAAAGAACAAAACAGGGAAAAATAAAAGTTAAATAAGAATGCATTATTTAGCAGTTTGTCACATTGAGCAACTGGGACTCAGTCTGACTGCAGTAGTTTTCACATTCTTTCATACTTTTCTCAGCAAAAAAAAAAAAAAAAAATGGAGCCTAAGCCCCCTTTTAACCCCCATCATTGGAAAGTTGGCTTCCTCCTACTCTGTTTGGATCTCTTGTGCAGGCAAGCTAGACAGTCTATCATAAAGAAACTCATGTATCACTATAAAGAGGCCCATGTGGAAAAGAACTGGAGCCTTGACCAATAGCCACATAAGTAAATATAGAAGGGGATCTTTCAACCCCATGTGGGTCTTTATATGATTGTAATCCAGCTCGCATCTTGAGTGCAACCTCCTGAAATATACTAAGCCAGCACCACCCAGACAAGCTGCTCTTAAATTCTTGACTCACAGAAATGGTGAGATGACAAATGCTTGTGTTTGTTTCTTTGTTTGTTTGTTTGAGATAGAGTCGTGCTCTGACATCCAGGCTGGAGAGCAGTGGTGTGATCTCAACTCACTTCAACCTCCGCCTCCCGAGTTCAAGCAATTCTCCTGCCTCAGCCTCCCAAGTAGCTGGGACTACAGGTGTGCGCCACCAAGCCCAGCTAATTTTTGTATTTTTAGTAAACACAGGGTTTACCCATGTTGGCCAGCATGATCTCGATCTCTTCACCTCGTGATCCGCCTGCCTTGGCCTCCCAAAGTGTTGGGATTACAGGCGTGAGCCACCACACCTGGCCTAAATGCTTGTTGTTTAAACAACAGAATTTTGAGGGTAGATTGTTATATGCAATACATAATTATGTACAAAATGAGGACTAATTGAAAAATCTGTAAAGAAGACAAATCAGAAACTACCTCAGAACCACTGATGAACAAAGCAATTATTCACTGATTCTTATTCCCTACTAGCCATGGATAGCTCATAGGCTAATACGGGCAAACTTCTGGGCTGATTTATGAGTGGCTATCTTGTGCGTATACTCAGTAAGATACCCTAGCTTCCAAAAAAAAAAAAAAAGAGCCCTAAGGCACAAAAGTACAAAATATTGAAGTGTGGTATAGTCAATATACTTGGGAACTGTCCAGCACAGCTGGGATGAGATGAAAAGCATTAAAAACAACTGCTCCACATGCCATGTGAGGATCCCCAACCTATTTCATATGTCAAAAAACATCTAAGAAAAAATGAAGAAGGGAATTTAATAAATTCAAACTACACTGAGAACTTTGGTTAAGATAATTTTTCTCTTCTATATTCCACTTTTAAGAACATTCAATATAAAAGAAATTAGATTTTTATTAAGGGGACTATTTTTAAGAGATAACAAGCATGATGGGGATGGCATTGAATCTGTAAATTACCTTGGGCAGTATGGCCATTTTCACGATATTGGTTCTTCCTACCCATGAGCATGGAATGTTCTTCCATTTGTTTGTATCCTCTTTTATTTCATTGAGCAGTGGTTTGTAGTTCTCCTTGAAGAGGTCCTTCACATCCCTTGTAAGTTGGATTCCTAGGTATTTTATTCTCTTTGTAGCAATTGTGAATGGGAGTTCACTCATGATTTGGCTCTCTGTTTGTCTGTTACTGGTGTATAAGAATGCTGGTGATTTTTGCACATGGATGTTGTATCCTGAGACTTTGCTGAAGTTGCCTATCAGCTTGAGGAGATTTTGGGCTGAGACGATGGGGTTTTCCAGATACACAATCATGTCATCTGCAACAGGGACAATTTGACTTCCTCTTTTCCTAATTGAATACCCTTTATTTCCTTCTCCCGCCTGATTGCCCTGGCCAGAACTTCCAACACTATGTTGAATAGGAGTGGTGAGAGAGGGCATCCCTGTCTTGTGCCGGTTTTCAAAGGGAATGCTTCCAGTTTTTGCCCATTCAGTATGATACTGGCTGTGGGTTTGTCATAGATAGCTCTTATTATTTTGAGATATGTCCCATCAATACCTAATTTATTGAGAGTTTTTAGCATGAAGTAGTTGTTGAATTTTGTCAAAGGCCTTCTCTGCATCTATTGAGATTATCATGTGGTATTTGTCTTTGGTTCTGTTTATATGCTGGATTACATTTATTGATTTGCGTATATTGAACCAGCCTTGCATCCCAGGGATGAAGCCCACTTGATCATGGTGGATAAGTGTTTTGATGTGCTGCTGGATTCGGTTTGCCAGTATTTTATTGAGGATTTTGCATCAATGTTCATCAAGGATATTGGTCAAAAATTCTCTTTTTTGGTTGTGTCTCTGCCAGGCTTTGGTATCAGGATGATGCTGGCTTCATAAAATGAGTTAGGGAGGATTCCCGCTTTTTCTATTTATTGGAATAGTTTCAGAAGGAATGGTACCAGCTCCTCCTTGTACCTCTGGTAGAATCTGGATGTGAATCCATCTGGTCCTGGACTTTTTTTGGTTGGTAAGCTATTGATTATTGCCACAATTTTGGAGCCTGTTATTGGTCTATTCAGAGATTCAACTTCAATCCCATCCCCATCAAGCTATCAATGACTTTATTCACAGAATTGGAAGAAATTACTTTAAAGTTCATATGGAACCAAAAAAGAGCCTGCATCACCAAGTCAATCCTAAGCCAAAAGAACAAAGCCAGAAGCATCACGCTACCTGACTTCAAACTATACTACAAGGCTACAGTAACCAAAACAGCATGGTACTAGTACCAAAACAGAGATATAGATAAATGGAACAGAACAGAGCCCTCAGAAATAATGCCACATATCTACAACCATCTGATCTTTGACAAATCTGACAAAAACAAGAAATGAGGAAAGCGTTCCCTATTTAACAAATGGTGCTGGGAAAACTGGCTAGCCATATGTAGAAAGCTGAAACTGGATCCCGTCCTTACATCTTATACAAAAATTAATTCAAGATGGATTAAAGACTTACATGTTAGACCTGAAACCATAAAAACCCTAGAAGAAAACCTAGGCAATACCATTCAGAACATAGGCATGGGCAAGGACTTCATGTCTAAAACACCAAAAGCAATGGCAACAAAAGCCAAAATTGACAAATGGGATCTCATTAAACTAAAGAGCTTCTGCACAGCAAAAGAAACTACCATCAGAGTGAACAGGCAACCTACAGAATGGGAGAAAATTTTGCAACCTACTCATCTGACAAAGGGCTAATATCCAGAATCTACAATGAACTCAAACAAATTGACAAGAAAAAGACAAACAACCCCATCAAAAAGTGGGCAAAGGATATGAACAGACACTTCTCAAAAGAAGACATTTATGCAGCCAAATGACACATGAAAAAATGCTCATCATCACTGGCCATCAGAGAAATGCAAATCGAAACCACAATGAGATACCATCTCACACCAGTTAGAATGGCAATCATTAAAAAGTCAGGAAACAACAGGTGCTAGAGAGGATATGGAGAAATAGGAACACTTCTTTTACACTGTTGGTGGGACTGTAAACTAGTTCAACCATTGTGGAAGTCAGTGTGGCGATTCCTCAGGGATCTAGAACTGGAAATACCATTTGACCCAGCCATCCCATTACTGGGTATATACCCAAAGGACTCTAAATCATGCTGCTATAAAGACACATGCACACGTATGTTTATTGCGGCACTATTCACAATAGCAAAGACTTGGAACCAACCCAAATGTCCAACAATGATAGACTGGATTGAGAAAATGTGGCATATATACACCATGGAATACTATGCAGCCATAAAAAATGAAGAGTTCATGTCCTTTGTAGGGACATGGATGAAACTGGAAACCATAATTCTCAGCAAACTATCGCAAGGACAAAAAAACAAACACCACATGTTCTCACTCATAGATGGGAATCGAACAATGAGAACACATGGACACAGGAAGGGGAACATCACACTCTGGGGACTGTTGTGGGGTGTGGGGAGGGGGGAGGGACAGCATTAGGAGATATACCTAATGTTAAATGACGAGTTAATGGGTGCAGCACACCAACATGGCACATGTATACATATGTAACTAACCTGCACATTGTGCACATGAACCCTAAAACTTAAAGTATAATAATAACAAAATTAAAAAAAAGAGATAACAAGCAAATGGCCAGAACCAACCTGGACAATGAAACTTACCTCAATCTATCACCACGTCTACATTACTCTACAGTGATCAGAAATCTCTTCTCAAGGCAAAATTCTCAATTATTATTGTCAGTGTGGGGAGGGAGCTGGGAGAGGGAGAGCATCAGGAAGAATAGCTGGTGGATGCTGGTCTTAATACCTAGGTCATGGGTTGATCTGTGTAGCAAACCACCATGACACACGTTTACCTTTGTAACAAACCTGCATGTGTACCACACATAAAATAAAAGTTTATGGTAAAAAAGAAAAAAGAAATTTTTTTGTTCTTTTTTTACAGTAGCATGCTATTTCTAGATCACCTTTTAAAAAAAAGAGAATGAATACAACTCCACCAGGCACCCTGATGGACCAAACCCAACACAATTCAAATATACTGAACTTAAGGATACACTGAGCATTTCAGAGCAACCCACTGTCCTGAACTGACAGTTCAAAAATGTATAGGAGTGCATTCTGAGAATACAACTATATGATATTTTAAAAATTCTTTATTTTATGAAAAAACAATTTTAAACACAGGCAGACTACTTTGAACTTTGGATATAAATGTTGGGAAGAATGTAGGACCTTCTGAGGCAGGGACAGAACTAAACTTTAAACAGAACTAGCTTATTCCTGAAAGTGTTTAGTTATAGGTAGATACATTGTTCCTTTCTAAAGAAGCTATGACTAGACTCTCTATTAAATCTAAAATAGTGAGAATATGAATTGTATTTACAATAGAATACAGAAATTAATAAATTAAATGATTATTAAAATACACGCATAATGTTGTAATGATAATTATTAAGAGCTGTGAATTGTCATTCATCTAGTTACCTCCACAACATAAAGCTCCTGTCTTAGTTCAGTCCATCTTTCATTTTCTTTTAATTTTTAACATGTGTCTTTTTCATTATTTGGGAGAGTTCTAGAATGAGCAAGACATCTTGCCTGTGTTCTTTTTAGACTATCTTCACCCTGAGACAACAAAATCCTCCCTGACACATCTATCTCATATATACTTTGTAGTGGGGGGTTTAAAGCCATGGCCTCAAAATATTCAAGTGCAGTCATTTTCAAGCAATTTTCTCTGACTATCTTTTCCTCTGGGTTTTTTGAGGGTGTTAAGAACATGGTGCTGATGTTTCTACTTCCCTACCAAATGCTGTTCTAATGTTACCAGTTACCAACATATTCAAGCCACTCATTTTGTCTTTAACCACTTGATGTGTTTAACAGTTCCTTGGTTGCTTTAGTAAATTCTTTCCTTGTTTACCTCCCTGCCCCCTCTAGTAGATTTTCAGGGTTGCCATAAGAAAGCACCACAGATAAGTGGCTTGAACAACAGAAATTCATTTTCTCACAGTTCTGGAGGCCAGATGTCCAAAATCCATGTGTGGGCAGGATGACAGGATTGGTATCCTCTGAAGCCGTCTCCTTGACTTGTGAGAGACTGTCTCCTCCTTGTGTCTTTGCATGGTCTTCCCTCCATGCATGTTTGTGTCCCCATTTCCTCTTTTTTATAAGGACACCAGCCATGTTAGATTGAGGCCCACCTTCATGACCTCATTTTACCTAACTTACCTTAATTACCTCTTTAAGAGACCTGTCTCCAGTCACAACCTTAAAGCAGGTCTTGGAAAATTACAAAATCAATTTTCAGAAACTTCATGAACATTTATGTTTTCAAGCATGAGTATTATATGTAAATATACATCTCTTTTTTCATCAATTTGTGGCTTTTAAAATCATGCTCAGTTATAAGCATTATACAAATTTTTCCCATTTCTTAATATACAAACCTTGAAACATTCTATAAATTAAAAAGCGTTTTGCAGCTTTTAGTGAAAAGGCATTGCATGGGAGGCCCTTATGCTAAAGATTAAAATTCCTTACACCTTATACAAAAATTAATTCAAGGATTAAAGACTTAAACGTTAGACCTAAAACCATAAAAACCCTAGAAGAAAACCTAGGCATTACCATTCAGGACATAGGCATGGGCAAGGACTTCATGTCTAAAACACCAAAAGCAATGGCAACAAAAGACAAAATTGACAAATGGGATCTCATTAAACTAAAGAGCTTCTGCACAGGAAAGGAAACTACCATCAGAGTGAACAGGCAACCTACAGAATGGGAGAAAATTTTCGCAACCTGTTCATCTGACAAAGGGCTAATATCCAGAATCTACAATGAACTCAAACAAATTGACAAGAAAAAGACAAACAACCCCATCAAAAAGTGGGCAAAGGATATGAACAGACACTTCTCAAAAGAAGACATTTATGCAGCCAAAAGACACATGAAAAAATGCTCATCATCACTGGCCATCAGAGAAATGCAAATCGAAACCACAATGAGATACCATCTCACACCAGTTAGAATGGCAATCATTAAAAAGTCAGGAAACAACAGGTGCTAGAGAGGATATGGAGAAATAGGAACACTTCTTTTACACTGTTGGTGGGACTGTAAACTAGTTCAACCATTGTGGAAGTCAGTGTGGCGATTCCTCAGGGATCTAGAACTGGAAATACCATTTGACCCAGCCATCCCATTACTGGGTATATACCCAAAGGACTCTAAATCATGCTGCTATAAAGACACATGCACATGTATGTTTATTGCGGCACTATTCACAATAGCAAAGACTTGGAACCAACCCAAATGTCCAACAATGATAGACTGGATTAAGAAAATGTGGCACATATACACCATGGAATACTATATACAGCCATAAAAATGATGAGTTCATGTCCTTTGTAGAGACATGGATGAAATTGGAAATATCATTCTCAGTAAACTATCGCAAGGACAAGAAACCAAACACCACATGTTCTCACTCATAGATGGGAATCGAACAATGAGAACACATGGACACAGGAAGGGGGTCATCACACTCTGGGGACTGTTGTGGGGTGGGGGGAGTGGGGAGGGATAGCATTAGGATATATACCTGATGCTAAATGACGAGTTAATGGGTGCAGCACACAAGCATGGCACATGTATACATATGTAACTAACCTGCACATTGTGCACATGTACCCTAAAACTTAAAGTATAATAATAAAAAAATAAAAAGATTAAAATTCATGCAAAGTATTAAATAAAAACATTCTTAAGCTTCATGATGAAAACAAAACAAAAATAGCTTTGTATTCTTTTCTCGTTCTTTGTAACCACTAAACACATTTAGTGTCTCATTTTGGATAAATGCCATTGGAACACGAAGCTCAGAATCTAAGGTCAGCTGCCCTATTCAAGAGGCTTAGGACTTCTGGATCCTCTCATTCATTAACGACATGACATTTCTACTTTATACAAAATATTCAGTTGAAATTAAATTCTCCCTAACCAGGTAGGGCAGGCAGAATTTGTTTTTAACTCCAAAGCTATATCTTCACAATAGAACTACTTGGTATTAGTCCATTTTCATTCTGTTGATAATGACATACCCAAGACTGGGCAATTTACAAAAGAAACAGGTTTAATTGGACTTACAGTTCCATGTGGCTAGGGTAGCCTCACAATCATAGCAGAAGGCAAGGAGGAGCAAGTCCCTTCTTGCACAGATGGCAGCAGGCAAAGAGAGAGTTTGTACAGGGAAACTCCCCTTTTGAAAATCATCAAATCTTGAGAGACTCATTCACTATCACCAGAATAGTGCAGGAAAGAACCTCCACCATAATTCAATTGCCTCCCACCAGGTGCCTCCTACAACATGTGGGAAATCAAGATGAGATTTGGGTGTGGACACAGCCAAACCATATCATGCTTATAATAGTTTGCCAACTTTACATGGTACAGATTGCATGGTACAGTAAGAAGACCAAATCAATGAATGGGTTCCATGCATCAAAATAGCATCAGAAGGGAATCTCTTGCTCTCTTTCTCTCTCTCTTTCACAGAGACATTGTGGTTGGGGGTGAATTTCACTTTGAGATAAAAACTGATTTCACTAACAGTTTCCCTTTCATACTTAAAAAACTTTACTGTGTAAGGCAGAGGTCTCCAACACCCAGGCTGGGGACTGGTACAGGTCCATGGCCTGTTAGGAACTGGGCTGCACAGCAGGAGGTGAGCGGTGGGTAAGGGAGCGTTACCTCCTGAGCTCTGTCTCCTGTCGCACCAGCAGCCACACTGAATTCTCATAGGAGCGTGAACCCTATTGTGAACCTCATATGCAGGGGAATTATGTTGTGTACTCCTTATGTGAATCTAATGCCTGATGATCTGAGGTAGAACAGTTTTATCCCCACACAACTACTCCTTCCTCCCATATGTGAAAAAATTTTCTTCCAAAAAACCAGTCCCTGGTGCCAAAAAGGTTGGGGACTGCTGGTGTAAGGATGAGATAGCTGTTACTACCACTGTGTCCACAAAAAGAACAATGTAGTTAGACTGGAAATAACATGAAGACAGAAAGATTCTGGCTCCTTGATGGCATCATCAAGCTGCTGAAAGAAATCTGGAATCACCAACTCTTAAGTTTCTGATTTTGGGGAAAAAAATTAATCTGTATTGTTTGTCCATTAGTCAGTTTGTTGTTCTGGTGGTTACTTAAAGTTAAAAGCATCTTGAATTATAACATTTTTGTTTTAAATTTCATTCGTAATTTATCTTTATATTTAACATTCATCTTAATAAACTTTTTTAATAATTACCAGTTTTCAGAACACATAGAAATATGATATTTGAAAAATTATGGTAGCTGAGATTTAATGTGCCATTATATATTATGCTCTGTATTTCTCCATGGTTATATACACATATTTTCCTATACTTACAATCGATATATTCTTTTCTTCCCCTAGCTTATAAGGTTATCCTACTGTGAGTGAAGATGAGAGATATGACATAGCCCTTTCTGTGCTGTGCTCTTGTCTCCATATCATTTTGTCCACATTATTTATTTCAACATATATAATTTTCCTCTTCTTTGGAGAAATCATAAATGAAATGCTTCCTGTGAGGAAAACTTACATTCAATTTTTGAGTAGCCAGGGTTCCTGCCAGAGAGATAACACTTGTCCAGCTAATGCATTACTAAAAAGCAAACAAACAACAACAACAAAACCTATGTATCTATTCTTTTCATTCTCTCTAAAACCCTTCTCTACATTGAGAGGATAGAAGAAATGTGCTGTGCACCCCTTCCTTTATTAATAGATAGTACTGGGCCAGGTGCGGTGGCTCACGCCTGTAATCCCAGCACTTTGGGAGGCTGAGGCGGACAGATGACCTGAGGTCAGGAGTTCGAGACCAGCATGACCAACATGGAGAAACCCCGTCTCTACTAGAAGTACAAAATTAGCTGGGCGTGGTGGCACATGCCTCTAATCCCAGCTACTTGAGGGGCTGAGGCAGGAGAATCACTTGAACCTGGGAGGCAGAGATTGTGGTGAGCCGAGATCATGCCATTGCACTCCAGCCTGGGCAACAAGAGTGAAACTCCATCCCCCCCCCCAAAAAAAAACAACACTGAAGAAAAGACGACTTTTCAACTCCTCTTAGTTGGTCCAAATGCACCCACTTCCTTTCTTAGGGAGAGAAGACATGTGCTTTTATCCATAGAGTGTATAATTGGCATCTAAATTTAGATATCAGGTCAGTGCAAAAGTAATTGTGGTTTTGTCATCACTTTAATGGCAAAACTGCAATTAATTTTACACCAACCCAATACTTTGGAGGTTTAAAGTAAGTCTTACTGTTAATTGTCCTGGGCCAAAAACATGAATAAACAAAAAGAATTTCAGACAAAGTGGTATGTATGGTCATCCTACCCATAAAAGGTCTATGCTCTTTGGATGCTTGGCATCTTTTCCTCTAAGGAAATCCCACGTGGTCCTGGGCAGAGTTGGGGGTGAGAGTAGGTGTAGGGAAGTGTGTGGTGTTAACAATGATTTCCCACCACATATCCCCTGATACGGTTTGGCTGTGTCCCCACCCAAATCTCATCTTGAATTGTAACTTCCACAATTCACACATGTCATGGGAGGGACCCAGGGGCTGGTTACTGAATTATGGGTGTGGGTCTTTCTCCTGCTTTCTCATGATAGTGAATAAGTCTCATTAGATATGATAGTTTTATAAGGGAGAGTTTCCTTGCACAAGCTCTTTCTTTGCCTGCTGCCATCCACGTAAGACGTGACTTGCTCCTCCTTGCCTTCCAGGATGATTGTGTGGCCTCTCCAGCCATGTGGAACTATAAGTCCATTAAACCTCTTTCTTTTGTAAATTGCTCAGTCTTGGGTAGGTCTTTATCAGCAGCGTGAGAGTGGACTAACACATTCTGTAAGGCACTGAAGTGATCCAAGCTGTTTAATCCAAAAAGCTAGTTAATATATTTCCTGTAATTTTGTTTGCTTTGGAAGTGAGAATTTTACTCAAGTGGTATCAATTAAGTTTTCTTATATGACCTGATTTTTCTTTTGAATTGTAGCCTAAGATACAGTGAAGGTTACCAGCTGCAATTTTCCCCACCATATGTATACAGTCTACCTTTCAGTAAAGTCATTATATACAAGGGAGCAGAGTCAAAAGATAAATAATTTCTGGACGAGTCATTCCTGGATCCAGCTGTGCTTGAAATTAGCATCATAATGGAGCATCCCAGTTTTATGAGCCATAAAAATTCTATATATGACTTAATTAGGCAGAGTTAATTTTTTTACTTGCAGTTGACAGTATTAAAATGGCATTTTTGTCATCTTAGGATTTAAAAGAATTGGGATGGAGTGAAGAGGGTAAGAACCAAGAGTAAGAGGAATTAAGATAGGAGATTATTTCTATTGTGAGGCTGATCATGATGAGAATGTATGAATTTTTTATATTTTAATGTGCAATATGCTTTTAGGAATGCATATTCTCTGGAGATATAAACTATATTCATAAGAATTATTACAAAGCTAATACATTCTGGAGATTTATACTTATATTTAACCATTTTAAATACACTAATATCCAGAGAAGTAGTAGAACATTATGATATGAAAAGATGATGAGCAAGGAAATTATATATGCATGGAAAAATATGTTTGCAAACCAATTCCTGATTTCAGCCTACCTGAATTGATATAAATGTATATTTTAATGCAGTTAAAATAATGGTCTGGGTTCTCTTACACTGCAATTGCTAACTATAGCTCATGTCATATTCTCAGGGTTAGTGCAATCATTTACCTGTGCCAGGCAGCTCTGAATAAAAAAGATGTACATTTACTGGATGGGAGAAATTTCTATATGAGCCTACAGGATGCAGCATCAGCATGTCAGCTTCCTGAACTCTTTTATTAGTAGTTATTTTCTGTGTAAAATTTTATTGTTTTTTAAATCTCTAATCACATTTAGTGAGTAAACAACTAGAAATAATCACTTACCAATTCATTCATCAGAATATTATTTTACATCAACTAGCCTTTAAGAAGTAGCTAAATTTCTTTGGAAAACTAAATACTGTTTACCATTTCTCTTTGCCACCAGACTAATAGAAAGTTTTAGGTATATCTCACTGCTAAAACCCAGGCTGAACACTAAGCAATTGGGAGATTGAAATGAACACATCATTATCCGAGCAATGAAACATTGAAAATCAGACACTGGAGCAGTCTCGTGTTTGAATCAACAAATAAAACAGAAGCATTAAGATTTCAATAAGGTGCTTAAACAACTTAAAGCAGAACGATTTTAGACAAATCACAATATTGAATCCTCTCTGGGAACATCAGTCCTGTATGTAATCATGGATCTGAAATTGACTTCATGGGAAATTCACCAGAAGACCATTTTCTAATTTAACAGAAACCAAGAAACAGCAGTATGAAATAGTAAAGGTGTGGAATATTAAGAGTCAGAGTTTTAAAGTTCTTGACATCAGACGGCGTGGAGATGAGTAAGATCACTGAGAATTAGATATGTGACCTTGGTAAATGACAGATGCTTTTCATCTATAAATATCCACAAGCTTTTTCATCTGTAATATTTGGATTACATTAGAACCAAAATCGTAGGTCTTTTTAAAGATGAATGTAAATAATAAGTGTAATAATAAATGAAAAAATAAACTTATTAGAATGCTGTCAGAAATAAGGCTGCTTAAATGCTAGTGATTTTTTAATTCTCTTTTTTTAGTTCTCTTTTATTGCTATGATTGTTGTTACTGAAAAATTAAATTTACATTATTAATAGTGCAACAGGCATATTGTTGAGATGACTAAGGTTAATCTGTCTCCATTTGCTTAAATACTCTAAAAGAAATACAGCTTGCTATTCTTATCACAAAAGTATATTTTTAAATCTTTTAATGTTTCTGCTAAAATAGAAAATGTGTTAAGATATTAGACAGTTACAGTTAACAAGTTTGAAATATTAATATTGAAAAACTATACTAGGAAGTAAAAATCATTTGGGGATCCTAAATTCTCAGGGTAGCTACACTTCTTGTGTAACAGCTATAGAATCTCAGAAAAAAGAGAATCAAGAGAAACCGGCAGGGGCTACAAGGCATTTTCCAACCCAGTCGTGGAAGCATCACGTCTGCCCTGTTACTTCAGTTGAGGCATAGAGACATATATCGTATTTATAACCCTAAAATCTATTTTGAGTTGTGGATGGGCTGTCAATAAAGAATAACAAATATACATAATCAACTTTGGTAAAATGCTTGAGAAAGGGAAAAAATCAAAAGTGAATCATTCATTGGATTCATTATGAAGATTTCATTGCTCTAGACATATGATTCTGACTCATATAATGGTAAAAGAGACATTTAACCTTCTTTTCCCAAATATTCTCATATTATAAGTACATGATTGTCTGCTTTCAGATATTTATGAAGTTTGAGATATTTATAAGAAAATTCTTTATAGGCAGGGCGCGGTGACTCACTCCTGTAATCCCAGCACTTTGGGAGGCTGAGGCGGGCAGATCAAGAGGTCAGGAGATCAAGACCATCCTGGCTAACACGGTGAAACCCCGTCTCTACTAAAAATACAAAAAAACATTAGCCGGGCGTGGTGGCGGGCGCCTGAGTCCCAGCTACTCAGGAGGCTGAGGCAGGAGAATGGCGTGAACCCGGGAGGTGGAGCTTGCAGTAAGCTGAGATTGCGCCACTGCACTCCAGCTCTGGCGACAGAGCGAGACTCCAGCTAAAAGAAAAAAAAAAAAAAAGAAAATTCTTCATAAATGTTGAGTTGCATTATTCCTCATGAGCATAATAATACTATTAACATGGGATGAGGTCTTGGAGTGTTACCTAGTTTATACTTCTTTGTGACAGTTATGACAAACATTTGTAAGGCATTTTAATAAAGGTGAAGAAAGAGTAGTGAATGGAATGTCAAAGATGATGCCAATAAAGAGGTAAAGTTGATTTTTTTCTAATTTTCCAACTTATAAAAGAAACCACTTACTGTGTAACTGTGAGACATATTCTACTTCAAGAAGTAATATTTACATAATTTAATACTGAAGTAACTGTATGTCCGAAAACATCTCATATAAAAATGTAAATTACATCACTTGAAAATTCTTCATATCATGCCTATTTTTATGTACCAAATTTTAGTAAAGTACCTCCTGACAAAAGAATTTCTAAACAAAAATGACTACAAACAACAGTAATACTGAGAAAGGTCAAAATTAATGCAAAAAAAGAACATATTCTCACATGAAAGGCAGTTTTTAACACACACACACATATTGAGAGAGACAGAGCTAGCTATACTGAATTTCTAGAAGTTATTTAAACTCTACAAGATAAAATTATCTTAATACAGGTAACTTTGTTTTGGAATTGTTCATTATGTTCATGAAGAATACTCAACAACTTTATAAACTATTAAATAAACAAATAGCTATGTACAGATTTTCTATATGTATAAATCACTACAAAGGAAAGATGCTTTATGGCACTATACCAATGATTATCACTTTGTGGCAAGATTATGGCTAATATTTTTTATTTGTGCAATCCTTTAAAAATATTCTGATAATGAACATACATTGTTTCTATAGTCAGAAAATTACATGATAAATTATATTAAAACTCAGTTAAATAAAGAAAAAAAACGCTAGTATTCTTCAAACTTTTTTTCTTTACCAGAGGTTTTACTTCAAACGGCATTTGTTATTCTTTATTGGCAAAATTGTTCAACCGACTCCTTATAGGTAGGAACCTTTTTGCTTATTTAACCTCCAGTTGGTGATCATAAGGGTTTATAGAATGCATGAGTGCCTTCATGAATAAATAAATGGTTTTAAGGAAAAAACATGCTTCCGTAAGAAAAAATATCTAATTTCCTGACATTTGCCTACTAATAATTGATGTGGTCATGCCAATCGCCCTGTGAATTACAGGGTAATTATAACCATTGTATAGCCAGTTATGCTTAAATGGCTGATTAATTAATCATGTATTTTGCATACAAATCTTGTGTTCTCTGGATCCAGCTAGGTGGTGTGTTCTCTCATACACTCATAGCCTTATGATGGCTGGCACTGATGTTATCTCACCTACCTGGTATTTGGACTGAAAAGACTAAAAACTAGGGGCAGAAACAGCTGAGCTCCTTGCCCTCCCCCTGGTCTTACTAGTTTCTCTTTGTCATGGCCTCGAGGTAACCACACTGCTTGTGTGACAACCATAGACTCCCAGAAAAAGAACATCAAGAAAAACTGGCAGAAGCTATAAGCTGTTTTCCTACCTAGCCATGAAAGCATCATTTCTACTCTATTATTTCTGTCTCTATTGGTTGAAATGATCATAAAATTCTGTCTGTGTTTAAGAGAGTGTCATAGACATAACTTCTTGGTAAGAGAAATATCATATAATTTGGAAATATGGTCTGAAACCACTACAATCTATAGGTTAAAGTACAACGGCTTAAGGGCACTTAAAAAACTGATTGATAATAAATTAACACAGTACTTCTAAGAGTGCATAATCTGAGTCAAATCATGTGGAAATGTCAGATAAACCAAAATTGAGGCAAAATTACAAGGTAAACGATTTATAATCATCAAAAAGTAAAGGTCATAAAAGAAAGATAGACTGATAAACCGTTCAGAAGGTACAACTACTAACTATAATTTAGGAATGGATTCTGGAGGGGGAAAAGTAGAAATGGAGAAATAGCTAAAAATAATTTTATTGAGATAATTTATGAAATTTCAGTAAAGCTTGTGGATTAGCAAATTGTTTTACATGGAGTTTAATATCTTAATTGTGATAATTTACCAAGGTTATATAATTGAATATTCATAGGAAATGCTGAAGTATTTAGGGGTAAGGCTCTGAATGTCTGCACATTTTCTCTCATGGTTCAGGAAAAACTTGTAGGCACTTGTGTGTGTATGTGTATACTTTGCACTACCTTATATATACAGAAAGAAAGGAAAATAGAAGAAATGATTTAGAAGATCTAACAGTTAAGAATTGATGAGTCCAGATGAAGAGTATACAAGCATTTTTTTGCTCTTACTGTAATTTTCCTGTTATGTTTGAAATTATAACAAAATTTAATGAAAAAAGACACTTTACCATCATAAAACTTTTCCAGCAACACACTCAACATTCCAGATTTGCCACTATTTAATTTTGAATTATAAGCATATTTGTTAAATCCATACTTGTAACTTTAATAATATGCTTACATATAATATTAGGACTCCATATATTTCTATAACTGCCTTTTTTTTTTGAGATGTAGTCTTGCTCTGTCACCCAGGCTGGGGTGCAGTGCCACGATCTCAGCTCACTGCAACCTCCGCCTTCCAGGGTTCAAGCGATTCTCCTGCCCCTCAGCCTCCTGAGTAGCTGGGACTACAGGCACCTGCCACTACACCTGGCTAGTAGTAGAAACTTTAGTAGAGATGGGGTTTCACAATGTTGGTCAGGATGGTCTTCAACTCCTAACCTCATGTTCTGCCTGCCTCAGCCTCCCAAAGTGCTAGGATTACAGGTGTGAGCCACCACGCCCAGCCAACTGCTTTCTTTTTATAGAAATCATAATTGCTTCTCATTTTTGTTTGCTTTGTTTTCTATTTTACCATCACTAATTTATCTGACAAATATCTCAAAGACATGACAAATCAATGTCCAAGAGAAAAATTTGAGTATCTTTCTTTCAGAAAGTGATGGAACAGTGAACAAAAAATTAGGATTTTTAATGTTTATAATACATTATTAAGAAATTTGATCTCATAAATATATATCTAGAACCATGGCCCAAGGAAATAGAATATATTTTGTGAGGGTACCATGGACTACTCACAGAAATTAACCAGTTTTTAAGCCTCAAAGAAATTTTAATAATTCCCCCAAACCAGAAATCATCATTTAGAACAAATTTTAAAATCCAAATTTAATATAATTTGATATCTAACAAAATTTCACAGCTAACAGAAATATTTTCATTGGGAATTTTAGAAAATACTGTTAAGAAGTTAATGAGTTAAAGAGAAAATATAAATTTAAATGATAATCTAGATATATAGCCATGCAAATACTACATAGCAAAAACTCTGGTTTAATCAAACATTCTCAGAGAAAATTCAAAGTTTTTAATGCATCTATAAGAAAATATTAAAAATTAAGTAAACTAAATCTTTAAGTAGCTACAAAATGAATAAAATAAGAATTAAAATTATATTAATAAAAGTGGTAACACATTAATTTAACATTAATTTAAAAATACTTAACAAAACCTAGATTTTTAGTTGTTGTATTTATCCCTTGAACAATGAGTAGAAAACTTTTAGCCAGTGTGACTAAAAACAAAGAGAAACCCCAAAAAGAAATAAATAACATTAATTACATGAAAGATGAGCTGGTGAAAATGTGGATTAAATGAAAGATTCATAGGAGAATTTAACTTTATACAGCAGTATGCTTATAAACCTATACTAAGTGAATGCTTTTTCAAAGAAAATATAAACTTACAATATTGTTTTGAGGAAAGGGGGAAAATTGGAAAGCACAAATTGTCAGAGAATATAGTAAAAATTTTGACTCCTACAGTCACCAAGCCTGAGCTCTAGTATCATGTGTACTATAAAAATTTTAAGAAATATGTAAATTCATGTTGTATAAACTGTCTCAGAACATAGAAAAAAGGTGCTTTTCACATCTACCTACAAACCTAGAGTAACCTGATATTAAAATAATTCAGGTAAGCACATGTACCCACTAAATAAATTATACACATATCTTTGAAAATCATGAAGAAATCACAAAAATACCACAGCAATATATTAAAAATAATAAAATATAAAAATGTATCTTCACGTTTATTGTTTGACTAATAGAAGAATAAATACAACCTTATTGTCTGGCAACTCCTTAATGAGTTATGATTTACCTATATTATGAAATATTATATTGTTATCATGAAGGAGCCAATTTAACTATTCGTGTAGACAGATTCCCCAATATGGTTAACTAAAAAAGCCAGTAACTTAAAAATTGGTTTCAATGTCTTTCTAACCTAAAAAAAAGGTCCACATGAATATTATAGATAGATAAATGCTTACAGAAAGGATAGAATGGTTACGTATCACTCTGTTAATTGTAATTACTCTGGAAAAAAGACTAAATAGTTGCCAGGAGAAAGATGTTATTTTAAGAAATATTATAGTCTACAGTTCTATATTACTTGAATGCCTCATATTGAGAATGTATCTGTATATATGTGCAGTTCAAAAATTATGTTTGTTTTTGTTTTTTTCCAAAGTACCTAAAAATAAGCCATTAGATTAGAGAGTAGATTCATGGGAATAATCAGAGAGGGAGAGGGAAGAGAGAATATGAAAGATAATAAAGTAAAATAAATGAGGAAGGGAAAATACAGGGCAAAAAACAAACTTGTAAAAATATTCATAAAGGCTAGGCACAGTGGCTTACGCCTGTAATCCCATCACATCGGGAGGCTGAGACGGGAGAATCGCTTGAACCCGGGAGGCAGAGGTTGCCATTAGCCGAGACCGCGCCACCGCACTCCAGCGTGGTGACAGAGCGAGACTCCGTCTCAAAAAAAGGAAAAAAAAATTCATAAAATACATATCAGAGAAAAGTTCAATATTGTTATAAGAGATTTTATATATCACTGAGAATGGAAAATTAGAACAAAATGAATATGAACATAAAGAAAGACATATTAGTGAACAATAAACCTAACTCAATGTTTTCTCTTATTTATCATTTTGATAATCTACAGTTACATAAAGTAAGATACCAATCTTTATCATATTGCTTATCAAAAGATTTTGCTGTTATTGTTTAATGTTGAGATAAAGTTCTGTTAATTGGCATACACTGGCATACAGGCACTCCAAGTGTACTGGTGGAAGTGAAAATTAGACTTTAACAACAGGTTTTAAAAGCTTACAAAAATTTGCATTTACTTTGAGGGAGCAATTTCCCTGCCAAGAACTTATTTTAGGACAGTTATTCTCAAAAACACAAAGATGAACTAATGAGATGATTTTTAGTAGGCAGAATTCTAAGGTGACCCACAGTCATGTATATAATCTTCTCTTAAGTATAAATGAAGCCTACTAATATTATGAAATGTCACTTTGTGATCAAGTTTTATGGCAATAGAGAAATTAACTGGGGGTGGGCCTTAATCTAATCAGGTGAGCTCATTAAAAACAGTATTTTCTCTGATGGGGCACAGAAAGGGCAGAAAGATTCATTCTGGCTGGCCTAGAAGGAAGCAATAATTTGCATTGTGAACAAGGGGGCAAGGACCTAACGATGCATCTAAGAGCTGAAAGTATTTTCTACCTGACAAAAAATGGAAACCTCAGTCCTACAACCACAAGGAAATGAATTTTGCCACCATCCATTGAGCTTGGAAGGAAACCCTAAGGCCTAGAGAGAAACTACAACCCCAACAAACACTCTGATTTTAGCCCAGTGAGACTCTGGACAGAGAACCAGTCACGCCATGCCTGAACTTCTAGTCTACAAAAACTGTGAGAAAATAAATTTGTTTTGTTTCATACTTCTAAATCAGTGATAATTTGTTATGCAGCAATATGAAACTAATACCATATTCATGAAATCGTCATTTATGATAGCAAGTAAATGGAAACCTCCTCTACATGTAGCGATAAAGAACAGGTAAGCAAAATATGACATACTACACACAGCAATTAACTCTCATGTTTGCAAAGCCTATTTACAAACTTCGTAAGAACTATGTATAAAATTCCGTGTGTGTGTACATATGTGTGTGTGTGTTTGTGCATTTTACATACATTCGCACAGTTTTGCATTGCATATTATTCATTAGGGGTTGAATTCTGTCTCTCAGAAAAGGATATTTGAAGTCCTAATTCTCAGTACCCCCGTATGTAACGTTATTTAGAAATAGGATCTTTGCCGATGAAAGTAAGATGGGGTTATTAGAGTGGACTCTAATGCAATCTGACTGGTATCCCTAATTAAAATCAGAAAATTGGGCTAAATGGAGAGAAATGCACCAAGGGAAGACTATCTGGACACAGGGAGACCACCATCTATAAGCCAAGGAATGCCTGATGCTACCAAAAGCTACTAGAGAGGAAAGGAGCTTTCCCTTACAGTTCCCAGCAAAAAATCAACCCTGATAACACCTTGATTTCAGACTAGCACCAAACTATGAAACAATAAATTTATTTTGTTTAAACCACCCAGTTTGTGATAGTTTGTTATGGCAGCCAGGAAAGTAATATAGATACCTCTATGTTCATGTAGATGGAATTGCAACAAAATTTAACAGTGACTGTCTCAGTTATTGGGAATATATTAGGCGGGTTAATACTCAATTTTTAATATTTGGCCACATTTAACCTATAAACGTGGCAATTTGACATGTTTCAGTTCATTAATTTCTTCTATATTTTTTGTGCTCATCTTAATTTTTAATTGTCTTTCTTTTCATTTTTTTGAGACAGGTTCTTGTTCCCCAGGCTGGAAGGCAGTGGCGTGACTGTGGCTCACTGCAGCCTCAACCTTTTGGGCTCAAGCAATCCTCCTGCTTCAGCCTCCTGAGTAGCTGAAACCACAGGCTCATACCACCATGCCCAGCTATTTTTTTTTTTTTTGGTAGAGATGAGGTCTTACTATGTTGCCAAGGCTGATCTCAAACTCCTAGGCTTAAGTGATCATCCCGCCTCTGCCTCCCAGAATGCTTGGATGACAGGAATGAGCCACCACACCTAGCCTCCTCTAAATTTTTGAAGTTTTCATAATATGTGTTATTTCCATAGCCAAATAAATTTGATAATCACAAAAAGTAGACAACCCTCTTCAAATAAGCAAATGTTGGAGATTATTTATATTCATAAAGATGTTAAACCAAGATGAATTGCTAACTTGAAAATCATTTCCTTTCCTATATTCCTTTTTCTGCATTCAGTCTCTTCATATTTACCTTAAGATGTTTTATAGTTTATGCATTATTTGTATATGTCAGGTTTTAAATTGAAATATTAGAAACAGACATTATTGGAAACAGCAGTTTTCTGTTTCTACTAGAGCAAAATAACTAATGGGAGATTAATATTAATAGACTATGCACTGAATTTTTCTTATAAAAGTTCAATTGTCTAATAAATTAATGATACCTCTCACTTTTACAAATAATATGCATATCTCTACTTGCTAGTGTTGATCTGATCATTCAATAATCATTTAAGGATTCATTGAAATCCAAAAATTGGCTAAGAAACATGCTACTGTTGTCTAGAGGGAAAGACAGGCATCAAACAAGCAATTACAAAAATGTATGGTTAGTCTTATAATGGGAAACATGAATTATATGGAACTAACCAAGTCAAAGGTGAGAAAATGCCCTCTGAGGAAGTGATTTGCAAGGTGAAGTTTTCCGATTTGGCAGGATAAGTAGGACCAAGTTGCAGAGGGAGCTGGGGCTTGCACTGTATAGAATGATTAAAAATAGAACAAATGTTGCTTGACAAAGTTCTGTGATTTTAGTTACAACACCTGAAAAATGTTATGATGCTATTGTCTTTTAAATACATGATTTCTTTTGACATGAATCCTGATTTTTTAGAAATATTTTCAAATCTGCATTTTCTGTCACGAATAAATCTCATTAACTGCTCCACTCCAAATGGCCACTTCTGTCACTGCAAATTTATATAGGGACAGCTATACATTATTAACAAGCTATGAAAAGTCACCGGCTAAATGTCACCAAAGCTGAGGTATAGCTGCACCTTGGGATTCATATAGCAAACAGTTTAGTTTTAATCATCCCGGACCACAGGATGTCTTGACATTTGAGCAGCAACTTTTTCCTCTTTAACTTGCACTGGAATCAGACCTCTATTATCTCAGCCATAATTTTTAGCTTAAATTGTGATAGAAAGTTTTACCTTCTAAATTAAAAACGTGAAAAAAATCGATCCATCAAAGAACTTATCATTCATGTAATCATTGCTCACCTGCAGCCCTCTTCCTCTTAACCCCCACTCCAAGAAAGGTGATCAAGGACAGCTATAAAATTCAAACATCTTTAGACCTGCCAGAAATTTTTTGAGCTAAATGCTTTTCTGTTACATTAAGACCTACAAGAAATGACCTTGCTGAACTGCATTAAGAGAGATGATTGATTTTACCGTGAAATATTTTTTATTTTGATAAAATAAGTAGGTTTCATATTTTTAAAATATGCTTTTGAATCTTTTTCTGCTCAAAGTCTAATAATGTTATCAGGATATCAATCTTTGATGCCTACAAAGTGTCTAAATTTATTAATATTTTATAAAAAATATCTAATGCATATTATATATTTGAGTCTTCTTAAGATCTATCATTTTAGCCCTTCATTGTGGAGCATTCACAGTAATTAACATAGTAATTAGAAAAAAAGGGAAACAGACATATCAATAAAGATAATGTTTGCTATATATATGTGTCTTATAACCTCATGCTGTATACCTTAAAATGGTCATCAATACAATACTACAAATGCATTACATAACCTGTTCTGAACAAATATGACTGGCTTACTGATAATTTTTCTATATATATAATAAGTCATGGATAAGCAATTATTAAAAAAGGGCTTATTGTCAAATAAATTGGCTTATTGGTATCTATCATACAGCTCTTACTTTATTTAATAATAAATATCATATGGTCCATAATGAATAGTATAGTGAATGCATACATCAAAATAAAAGTAGATGATGGAATTTAAAACAATGATCATAGCATTGTTTCTTAACTGTTTTATGAGTTAACACCTAAAAATATGTAAATTTATAATATGTCTTCTTTTTATTTCACCAAAAAATACATGTGATGGAAAATTGTCTATGGTTGTCTTCACCTCTTTGAAAAGTTAACAGCATCACTTTTATGTTTGCTTCTATTTTCTCTATTTTATGAACAACATTCAAGTAGTATTTGTCAATTACCTATTATGTTATGAGGTATTGTAGGTTTCATACAGTGATGAGCACCATGGACAAGATCTTTGTAGATATTACAATCAAATACAGAGAGAAAAATTAGTATCACAGAAAAAAAAATAAATGCTGCTATGTTTTACGATGGTGTCTAATGAGAGATACAACTTTATTGAGTGGGTTGGTGGGAGGTGGGGAAAGAAGATTTTCCCATACCTGTTCTTTTGAGAGTGAGTTAGGGGAGCATTAGCAATTATTCTTGAATAACAGGCTTAACTCAGGCACATATTTAGTCAACTAACCCTACAACCTTGACTGATTGATGGAGAATATGGTAGGTCTTGAGAACTTTTCCAAGACAGGAATACCTTAGTTGGGAGTCTCCAGAAACAGACCTTGAGCAAAAAGTTTGAGTAGAAGTAGTTTTTTAGGAGATATAAAACACACCTAAAGTTGAGTAAGTTGGTAGATGAAAGAGAATGTAGAAAATGAAATTAAATCAACTATTAAAGTGGGTGCTTAGAGGTTATTCCCCTAGGAAACTCTGATCAACCGTAAAAAACACACACTTCAGAATTATCCCACCTGATAGACTAAGAAAGCTAAGGTGTGTATACCCAAACTTCCATCAGTAATTGTTGGGGGCTGCATCCTGGATTGGGAGGATGAGAAGGGGAAGGGGGTTAATTCACCAGAATTTCTGTTCTGCTTTGCATGAAAGTAGTTTCTGAAATAAACAAGCTCATAAATAAATACACAGTTTGCTGGAAATTGGCTGTAAAAGGTTGAAATGGTAGGATGAGAGGAGTAGGAGTGATAGCCACCCATTAGACAACAGCATGACAGAGTGAGCTAAGGTATTTGCATCTATTAAGATTATCAGTCTCCCATTATTATTGTGTGGGAGTCTAAGTCTCTTTCTAGGTCTCTAAGGACTTGCTTTATGAATCTGGGTCCTCCTGTATTGGGTGCATATATATTTAGGATAGTTAGCTCTTCTTGTTGAATTGATCCCTTTACCATTATGTAATGGCCTTCTTTGTCTCTTTTGAACTTTGTTGGTTTAAAGTCTGTTTTATCAGAGACTAGGATTGCAACCCCTGCCTTTTTTTGTTTTCCATTTGCTTGGTAGATCTTCCTCCATCCCTTTATTTTGAGCCTATGTGTGTCTCTGCACATGAGATGGGTTTCCTGAATACAGCACACTGATGGGTCTTGACTTTTTATCCAATTTGCCAGTCTGTGTCTTTTAATTGGAGCATTTAGCCCATTTACATTTAGGCTTAATATTGTTACGTGTGAATTTGATTCTGTCATTATGATGTTAGCTGGTTATTTTGCTCATTAGTTGATGCAGTTTCTTCCTAGCATTGATGGTCTTTACAATTTGGCATGTTTTTGCAGTGGCTGGTACTGGTTGTTCCTTTCCAAGTTTAGTGCTTCTTTCAGGAGCTCTTTTAGGGCAGGCCTGGTGGTGAGAAAATATCTCAGAATTTGCTTGTCTGTAAAGGTTTTTATTTCTCCTTCACTTATGAAGCTTAGTTTGGCTGGATATGAAATTCTGGGTTGAAAATTCTTTTCTTTAAGAATGTTGAATATTGGCCCCCACTCTCTTCTGGCTTGTAGAGTTTCTGCCGAGAGATCAGCTGTTAGTCTGATGGGCTTCCCCTTGTAGGTAACCCAACCTTTCTCTCTGGCTGCCCTTAACATTATTTCCTTCATTTCAACTTTGGTGAATCTGACAATTATGTGTCTTGGAGTTGCTCTTCTCGAGGAGTATCTTTTTGGCATTCTCTGTATTTCCTGAATTTGAATATTGGCCTGCCTTGCTAGATTGGGGAAGTTCTCCTGGATAATATCCTGCAGAGTGTTTTCCAACGTGGTTCCATTCTCCTTGTCAATTTCAGGTACACCAATCAGATGTAGATTTGGTCTTTTCACATAGTCCCATATTTCTGGGAGGCTTTGTTCACTTCTTTTTACTCTTTTTCCTCTAAACTTCTCTTCTTGCTTCATTTCATTCATTTGATCTTCCATCACTGATACCCTTTCTTCCAGTTAACAAATCGGCTACTGAGGCTTGTGCATTCGTCACGTAGTTCTCCTGCCTTGGTTTTCAGCTCCATCAGGTCCTTTAAGGACTTCTCTGCATTGATTATTCTAGTTATCCGTTCGTCTAATTTTTTTTCAAGGTTTTTAACTTCTTTGCCATGGGTTCGAACTTCCTCCTTTAGCTCGGAAGTTTGATCGTCTGAAGCCTTCTTCTCTCAGCTCATCAAAGTCATTCTCCGTCCAGCATTGTTCTGCTGCTGGTGAGGAGCTGCATTCCTTTGGAGGAGGAGAGGTACTCTGATTTTTAGAGTTTCCAGTTTTTCTGCTCTCTGTTTTTTCCCCATCTTTGTGGATTTATCTACTTTTGGTCTTTGATGATGGTGACGTACAGATGGGGTTTTGGTGTGGATGTCCTTTCTGTTTGTCAGTTTTTCTTCTAACAGTCAGGACCCTCAGCTGGAGGTCTGTTGGAGTTTGCTGGAGATCCACTCCAGACCCTGTTTGCCTGGGTATCAGCAGCGGAGGCTGCAGAACAGCGGATATTGGTGAGCAGCAAATGTTGCTACTGGATCAATCCTCTGGAAGTCTTGTCTCAGAGGAGTACCCGGCCATGTGAGGTGTCAGTCTGCCCCTACTGGGGGGTGCCTCCCAGTTAGGCTACTTGGGGGTCACCCCACTGTCAATATTAGACAGATCAACGAGACAGAAAGGTAACAAGGATATCCAGGAATTGAACTCAGCTCTGCACCAAGTGGACCTAATAGACATCTTCAGAACTCTCCACCCCAAATCAACAGAATATACATTCTTCTCAGCACCACACTGCACTTATTCTAAAATTGACCACATAGTTGGAAGTAGAGCACTCCTCAGCAAATGCAAAAGAACAGAAATTATAAACTGTCTTTCAGACCAGAGTGCAACCAAACTAGAACTCAGGATTAAGAAACTCACTCAAAACCGCTCAACTACATGGAAACTGAACAACCTGCTCCTGAATGACTACTGGGTACATAACAAAATGAAGGAAGAAATAAAGATGTTCTTTGAAACCAATGAGAACAAAGACACAACATTCCAGAATCTCTGGGACACATTCAAAGCAGTGTGTAGAGGGAAATTTATAGCACTAAATGCCCACAAGAGAAAGCAGGAAAGATTTAAAATTGACACCCTAACATCACAATTAAAAGAACTAGATAAGAAAGAGCAAACACATTCAAAAGCTAGCAGAAGGCAAGAAATAACTAAGATCAGAGCAGAACTGAAGGAAATAGAGACACAAAAAACCCTTCAAAAAATCAATGAATCCAGGAGCTGGTTTTTTGAAAAGATCAACAAAATTGATAGACCTTTAGCAAGACTAATAAAGAAGAAAAGAGAGAAGAATCAAATAGATGCAATAAAAAATGATAAAGGGGATACCACCACCGATCCCACAGAAATACAAACTACCATCAGAGAATACTATAAACACCTCTAAGCAAATAAACTAGAAAATCCAGAATAAATATATAAATTCCTTGACACATACACCCTCCCAAGACTAAACCAGGAAGAAGTTGAATCTCTGAATGGACCAATAACAGGCTCTGAAATTGAGGCAAAAACTAAGAGCTTACCAACCAAAAAAAGTGCAGGACCAGATGGATTCACAGCCGAATTCTACCAGAGGTACAAGCAGGAGCTGGTACCATTCCTTCCGAAATTATTCCAATCAATAGAAAAAGAGGGACTCCTCCCTAACTCATTTTATGAGGCCAGCATCATCCTGATACCAAAGCCTGGCAGAGACACAACCAAAAAAGAGAATTTCAGACCAATATCCCTGATGAATATCGAGGCAAAAATCCTCAATAAAATACTGGCAAACTGAATCCAGCAGCACATCAAAAAGCTTATCCACTATGATCAAGCAGGCTTCATCCCTGGGATGCAAGGCTGGTTCAACATACACAAATCAATAAACATAATCCAGCATATAAACAGAACCAACGACAAAAACCACATGATTATCTCAATAGATGCAGAAAAGGCCTTTGACAAAATTCAACAACACTTCATGCTAAAAACTCTCAATAAATTAGGTATTGATGGGAAGTATCTCAAAATAATAAGAGCTATCTATGACAAACCCACAGCCAATATCATACTGAATGGGCAAAAACTGGAAGCATTCCCTTTGAAAACTGGCACAAGACAGGGATGCCCTCTCTCACCACTCCTATTCAACATAGTGTTGGAAGTTCTGGCCAGGGCAATCAGGCAGGAGAAGGAAATAAAGGGTATTCAATTAGGAAAAGAGGAAGTCAAATTGTCCCTGTTTGCAGATGACATGATTTTATATCTAGAAAACCCGATCATCTCAGCCCAAAATCTCCTTAAGCTGATAAGCAACTTCAGCAAAGTCTCAGGATACAAAAGCCATGTGCAAAAATCACTAGCATTCTAATACTCCAATAACAGACAGACAGAGAGCCAAATCATGAGTGAACTCCCATTCACAATTGTTTCAAAGAGAATAAAATACCTAGGAATCCAATTTACAAGGGATGTGAAGGACCTCTTCAAGGAGAACTACAAACCACTGCTCAATGAAATAAAAGAGGACAGAAACAAATGGAAGAACATTCCACGCTCATGGGTAAGAAGAATCAATATCATGAAAATGGCCATACAGCCCAAGGTAATTTATAGATTCAATGCCATCCCCATCAAGCTACCAATTACTTTCTTCACAGAATTGGAAAAAACTACTTTAAAGTTCATATGGAAACAAAAATGAGCCCGCATTGCCAAGTCAATCCTAAGCCAAAAGAACAAAGCTGGAGGCATCACACTACCTGACTTCAAACTATACTACAAGGCTACAGTAACCAAAAAGCATGTTACTGGTACCAAAACAGAGATATAGACCAATGGAACAGAACAGAGCCCTCAGAAATAATGCCACATATCTACAACCATCTGATCTTTGACAAACCTGACAAAAACAAGAAATGGGGAAACGATTCCCTATTTAATAAATGGTGCTGGGAAAACTGGCTAGCCATATGTAGAAAGCTGAAACTGGATCCTGTCCTTACACCTTATAGGAAAATTAATTCAAGATGGATTAGAGACTTACATGTTAGACCTGAAACCATAAAAACCCTAGAAGAAAACCTAGGCAATACCATTCAGGACATAGGTATGGGCAAGGACTTCATATGTAAAACACCAAAAGCAATGGCAACAAAAGCCAAAATTGACAAATGGTATCTAATTAAACTAAAAAGCTTCTGCACAGCAAAAGAAACTACCATCAGAGTGAACAGGAAACCTACAGAATGGGAGAAAATTTTTGCAATCTACTCATCTGACAAAGGGCTAATATCCAGAATCTAAAATGAACTCAAACAAATTGACAAGAAAAAAACAACCCCATCAAAAATTGGGCGAAGGATATGAACAGACACTTCTCAAAAGAAGACATTTATGCAGCCAAAAGACACATGAAAAATGCTCATCATCACTGGCCAACAGAGAAATGCAAATCAAAACCACAATGAGATACCATCTCACACCAGTTAGAATGGTGATCATTAAAAAGTCAGGAAACAACAGGTGCTGGAGAGGATATGGAGAAATAGGAACACTTTTACACTGTTGGTGGGACTGTAAACTAGTTCAACCATTGTGGAATTCAGTGTGGCAATTCCTCAGGGATCTAGAACTAGAAATACCATTTGACCCAGCCATCCCATTACTGGGTATATACCCAAAGTATTATAAATCATGCTGCTATAAAGACACATGCACACGTATGTTTATTGCGGCACTATTCACAATAGCAAAGACTTGGAACCAACCCAAATGTCCAACAATGATAGACTCAATTAAGAAAACATGGCACATATACACCATGGAATACTATGCAGCCATAAAAAACGATGAGTTCATGTCCTTTGTAGGGACATGGATGAAGCTGGAAACCATCATTCTCAGCAAACTATCACAAGGACAAAAAACCAAACACCACATGTTCTCACTCATAGGTGGGAACTGAACAATGAGAACACATGGACACAGGAAGGGGAACATCACACACTGGGGCCTGTTGTGGGGTGGGGGGAGGGGGGAGGGATAGCATTAGGAGATATACCTAATGTTAAATGACGAGTTACTGGGTGCAGCATACCAACATGGCAGATGTATACATATGTAACTAACCTGCACGTTGTGCACATGTACCCTAAAACTTAAAGTATAATAAAAAAAGATTATCATTTAAAAGTCCCAGATTTAGTTTGCTTATAGACTTTTGTCCAGTAGAGATGCAAATACTTTCTGTTCAGAAGAGAAAAATAACCCCAAAGTTATAATTTATTGTCCCGTGGGACAGCAAGCAGATATGCATCTCATCCAGCAAATATTATTCTGAAATGCCTTTATTAAACTCCCAGTGAATACACAACTCTTCAAATGCTCTCTAGTCTGTTTGTATAATAGTTTGTAATTTCAAACTATTATAGGCTAAATCAAATTTAGCCTTGCTTCGCTCATAGATTTTTTTTGTTTAGACTATGTTTTAGGTTCCAGGTTTTGTATAACATTTTACATAATATATTGAGATAGTTCCTACTCTTATTTTTGTTTTATAAATGAGAATGATTGTGTTTTAATAAGGTTAAGTAATTTCCCAAGATCACGCAGTTAGCAAATAATGGATTTAGATTCTGACTCAAGGAATTCTGACTTGAGATCCTTCTGATATACCTCCACCCCATTTTTGAGAATTACTGCTCTAGACCTTTTCTGAAAGGAACCTAGACTGTTTATATCTAAACACACAACTACCAAGTATCTGTGCAATTCAGGTCAGAAATTACATAAAGTTGCAGATCTTTGAATAGGAATGTATTCAAGAAAATAGCTTTTTATTGAAGAGGGCTAGATTTTTAAAAATCTGTAAGAGTTAATCAGAGCTTAGCGAATTGATGATTTTCCTAAAAAATAATAGAATTAGACTTCCCAATGTTACTAGTTATCTTGATAACAATTTTGCTAAAAATTCAAAATCCACTGACAACAATAATTATGTATGCTTGTAAAACAAAAAAGCCATATTCTGACGAAATATACCATTGGTAATAAGGGAAAATTGCTCAGTTTTTATTCTCATTAAGTCTCAAGAAAGTCTGAGTGAGGAAAACTTTAATTGGATACCACTTCATTTGGTAACACCATTAATTGGACAGTTAACAACTTTTTCAAAAGGTTGATAAGTAAATTGGTCATGGTAGACTAACTTATGCTGTTTGAAAAAATAATCCCCAAATCTCAGAGGCTAAAGTAACAAAAGCTTATTTCTTGCTTATAAGACAAAGCTATCACGGGTTCACTAGAACTACATTCTTCGGATCATTGTCCTCCCTTTGGACCTGGCTGATGATGTATTACCAATGTCCATATCAGCAAAAAAAGTGAGCCTGCAATTCTCTCATGAGTATTTAATTGCTCTTCCCACAGAGGAACACGTTACTTCCAGCCAACTTCTCCCCTTAGTGAAAAATATTGACGTTGCCTCAACCAAACAGAAGGAAGCTAGATGTACCGTCATACTGTTAGCAGCGGGTCTTTGCTCCCAGAGCCCCCAAGATGGCAGCAAGCCTCTTGCACTCTGACCTGGGGTTCTTGGCCTCAAGGATTCCAAGGAATAGAACCTTGGGCCATGCAGTAAGTGTTATAGCTCTATTAGAAGCCCTGGGTCACGGAAGAGAACCATGGAACCCAGCGACTAGTGTTAAGCTAGATTAGGATGAACCTGGGCACTTAGCTGCACAGAATAATGGCGAGCCTCTAGCCCGATCAGGAGTGGCATTAGGCGCCTTGCTGGATTAGAAGCGCAGCAGACACCCTGCCCGATCTGGAGGGATGGAAGTAAGCGGCAGGTCTGCAACGCAGGGATCAGTAGTGGTGGACGGCGAGTGATAACTCAGCTCCAGCTGGAACAAACATGGACCAGCAGAGTATGCAGTTGCATGATTTAATAGAGTGAAAACAGAGCTCCCATACAATGGGAGGGGACCCAAAGGGGGTTTCCCACTCCCCACTTAATGGCTGGGGTTTATATCCCAATCATTGTCCCTTCCCCTGTGCTCTCAGATGATAGATGATGTGACTATTTCTTTACCTCCTGTTTTTAGCCTAATTGGTGTTTTAGTGAGCCCTCTTTACTACCTGATTGGTTGGGTGTGAGCTGAGTTACAAGCTCCGTGTTTAAAGGTGGATGCAGTCACCTTCCCAGCAAGGCTTAGGAATTCTTAGTTGGCCTAGGAAATCCAGCTAGTCCTGTCTCTCAATATGATATGTCTGGAAAGAGGGGAAGTGGGATATTTGGCCAAAAGAGTTAAAAAACACTGCAGTGAGCTGAATGTTTATTTCCACCTCCTCACCCGCCCCCAAATTCATATGTTGAAATCTTAACCTTCACAGCTGGGTTTAATTGGGAGGTGAGACTTTTACCAAATGATTAGGTCCTGAGGGCTTTGCTCTAATGAATAGGAGTATTATTCTTATGAAAGAGGCCAGAGGGAGCTCATTTGACCTTTTCATCATGAGAACACAGTAAGAAGACAGCTGACTATCTATGAACTAGAAAATGGGTCCCCACCAGACATGAATTTGCTAGCATCTTGATCTTGGACTTCCCATCCTCCAGAAATATGAGAAATAAATTTTTGTTGTTTACAAGCCGTCCAGTTTAAGGTGTTTTATATAGCAACCTGAACAGACCAAGACAAGTACCACAACATGAAATGAGGTGATTATGTATACCTATATTAATATACATCTATTACTATAGAGTACATCAATTTCTTGCATATTTCTGCACATGTGTGAAAAAAGAGTCACATGAAAAGTCTTATCTTTGTAAATATACATATGTGGGAATGTGTAAACATGATACAACTGTGATACAAATAATATAGACTTTGAAAGTTTTCATAAATGAAACGCTTGTTTTCCGAAACTTTGTCCACTGTAATAATGTTCTGGCATTTATAAAATACTGCATGTGAGGTTTTTAATAATTAGTAAATTCACATATGTGTTTTAAATAACATAGTAAAATAATCTTTTTAGGTAATGTGGAACAAATTGTGAAAAAAATGCAAGAGTGAAGTAGAAATGATAAAAATAAAACATAATTTAATTGTTGTAAGTGCTTTGAGTAAGGGATTTATCCAAAATTGGATTTCAAACTATTATAGGCTAAATCAAATTTAGCCTTGCTTGGCTCATAGACTTTTTTTGTTTAGACTATGTTTTAGGTTCCAGGTTTTGTATAAAATTTTAACTTGGAGAAACAGCCCTAGTCACCATTAATATGGTCATTCTAAGTTTTTTGGATGTTTCAAAATTATCGTTATGCTAAAAGTGCATTTGTATTATATTTAAATGTCTTAAGTTAATAGGTCTGAAAATTATCTGTATATAGACATTTAAAACAAATTTAGAAATTATTATACTGGTATAAAAAGCACACTTAATACTATGCTTCAATTGAACCAATTGTCACGTTTTCACTTCCAAGACCCCCTCCCGCTTTTCTTTTTTCCATACTGAGTTCTGTTCCTACTGTTCTGAGAAAGCTATGCTCTTACTGTTTTCCAAAGCTGGGCCTCCATATTTGTGAACATGCCATATATTTGTCACTCCATTCTAAAGAGAATGCCCGATTTTCCTACCTATTACCCAATTTGCTGTTTTCCCTTCATCATCAACATAATGTGTACTCTAGTGAGGGGGTGGCTGGAGGCCAGGAACTTGGATGGAGCTGGAGGCTGTTATCCTTAGCAAACTAATGCAGGAACAGAAAACCAAATACTGCATGCTCTCACTTATAAGTTGGAGCTAAATAAAAACATATGAACACAAAGAAGGGAACAACAGACACTGAGGTCTAAGTGTGGAGAGTGAGGAGAGTGAGGAGAGGGAGAGGAGCAGAAAAATAACTATCGAGGACTGAGCTTAATACCTGGCTGATGAAATAATATGTACAGCAAATCACTGTGATGTGAATTTACCTATGTAACAAACGTTCAAGTGTACCCCCAAACCTAAAACTTAAAAATAAAACAAAACACAAAACCTGTACTCACTGCTTTGATTTTTAATTTCCCATTTACTTCTCAACTCATGACAACATATCTTTCACCTCTAATGTTTAAATTGCTCTAACAAAAATCATCCAATCTAATGATTACAAAAGTCAAGACTCTCTGCTAATCCTGACTTCATTTTGGGATCAATGCAATAAATCAATCTCTCCTTGAAGTTAATTCTCCCCTAGTTCCCATGACATTCCCATTCCAATCTTTTGCTACTTGTTTATTTACTTTCACTGTGTCAACTTCAATCACACACTTCTTAAATGTTACTGTTTCTTTGGGCTGTAATGTCTGTTGTCTTCTTTTCATTAAATTATTGCTAAATAATACCAACCAGAAATCAATGTTATTTATAACTGATATGACAATGACTACTAACTTGTGTTTCCAGTCCTAACTGCTCTCATTAAACTAGATCTATATTTTCAGTGGCCACTTAGTTATCTCCACATGGATGCTCTACACACATCTCAAAAGGAACCTACCAATAACCAGTCTGTTTATCCTACTTTCTCCTCACAACCTGATTCCATATATTTAATGGGCTATGTAAGAATTATTTTTTTCTTATTTCATCCTCATCAGTCGACTCCTTTGAGAGTGTTTGAAATATTTCTCAATTCTTTCATTTTCCTAGACTTTTGTGTTTTTGTTTTATTTTCTCCCCTGGAGATCAATGGGCAGACCAGAATAGTTTTATTACAGTTCAATGGCATTTAGGGAAAGGAGCAAATCATCATATTCACTGTGACATCACAAAAAGAATCACAGAAATCAAGAGGAGTTTCATAGTTGATATTTAAGAACACCAAGAACTTTCCCTATATCCTCACTCAGGATTCTCTGCTTAATGAAATGTGTAAGAGCACAGAGAACTTATTAAATATTTAATAATATTTATAATATATAATAATATAAAATATATTATTTCCTCTTAAAATGATTAACATCATTTATTGGTATCTAAGTTTTTAATATAAAAATTAATTTATTTGATCTCCTAATTTCTTAAAGATGCCAAATACATGGAGCCTTCCCCTGATGTCCTGATGGCAGAATCCCATTTTGTTACACCGTGGGTGGAGAGAGCAGATGCCCCAGTGCCTCCTTGCAGCTTTGGACACAACGTGCAGATGGCATCATTATCTCTTTTACATCTTGGATGGATTGCTGGGAAGGACATTCTGTTAAATAGTTATTTTAAAAGATCATTTGGGAACTTATGACTTTTTTTTTTGCTATTTCCTTATATATTTTATGACTAACATATATTGTTATTTTTAATTTTTTTCTGAGTTCATTCCCTTAGTTTATCATGTTAAATTTCTCTAAAGAGTAGTAGTTTTCTTTCATTTATTCAGAATATTATATTTTCATATAGAGGGAGATCCAGCACCCATAAAACATTAGAAACACTCAAAAGGTAATTTACATATTGTTTTTTAAGATTTTTAATATTATTGAAAATACATTGTGGTCATTTTATTGTCCATCACAAATGAATAAATTCATACACAAATATATGATAATAAAAAATGCTCTACAAGCAGGTAGAGGAGTGAAAGGACTCCATGTATTCAGCTAAAGACTTTGAGCCAGTATTTGCAGGTAAGTATCATAAGCCAAATGTCTCAAACTTTAGCATGCATCATAACATCTGGAGGGCTTAAAAATTCAGCTTATGTTACCCATCCCAGAGTTTTTCATTCAGTGAGTCTACAGTTGGGCGTAAGAATTTGCATCTATAATAACTTCTCAGATAAGGTTACTGCTGCTCAAAATGTGGGAACTACTGCTTGAAGTCACCTATAGAATATTTGGAAATATTGAAAAACCAAAAGCAACCTGAAACTAGCAAATATAGTTAATACAGACAATAATACTAATAAATTGCAATGTTAAGATATCAATTATTTTAATGCTTTCATGCTAAAAGGACTAACAGAACAAAAGTGTTTAATGATCAAAATAAAACAAACCTTTTGGAAGTAATAGATGAAAACAAAACCTTTCATGATAACATTTTGTGTTGTTTTAAACGTACAGAAAAGTGCGAATTACCTTCAAAATATACTTCACAAAAAGGTCCCCTGCGGTGTAGACATTGGAAAAGGTCAAAATAACTATTTTCTCTAAATGCTTATCATATTTGTTGCTTTCACCTATTTTAGGTGACACAATTTGCTCCTTTTTTAGTGTCTTATTTCCCTATTTATGGCACTACCCTCACCCAGCCTTCCAGCTAGTACCACAATTCTTTTTTTTTTTTTTTTTTTTTTTCGGGACAGAGTCTCGCTCTGTCGCCCAGGCTGGAGTGCAGTGGGCTGGAGTGCAGTCACGCAATCTCGGCTCACCGCAAGCTCGGCCTTCTGGGTTCACACCATTCTCCTGCCTCAGCCTCCCAAGTAGCTGGGACTACAGGTACCCGCCACCACGCCCAGCTAATTTTTTGTATTTTTTTAAGTAGAGACGGGGTTTCAGCATGTTGGCCAGGATGGTCTCAATCTCCTGACCTCGTGATCCACCCGCCTCAGCCTCCCAAAGTGCTGGTATTACAGGTGTGAGCCACCACACCTGGCCGCTAGTACCATAATTCTTGTGAACACTGACTGGCACTCTGACCATCATTTTTCCCAATTTATTTAGTTTAAATAAATCACGTGTTTTGCCAATTGTAGTTGGTTATCTGTGTGCTTTTCTTTCTTCTTAGCTTCTGCCTGTACCTTCCAATATTTCTTCTCTGAAGTAAATTAAAGAAGAACCCTCACAATATCTTCTATAATGCTGTAAAAAATAGCATTTTAACGTGGCCTTTATATACTCACTCGTTTCTTAGAAAACAAGTTGGCTTATTTCAGTTTGAAACATAAGTAATTGATCCTTACCAAACAGGATTAAAAATAGTAGCAACTGTAATAGAAATTTTGATATTGACCACATAACAATCTTATCTTACTTTACAGATTAGTCTAAGATGCTAGGAGTTGCAAAGAGACTTAACAGGCTTGAATGGATATAATCTGTACAGATTCTGATCTTTATCTAAAAAAACTGATATTCACCCTTTGATGCAAAAAAGAGAGAGAGAGATAGGTTTGCAGAGTGGGGGAAAGATGAAGAGAGAGAGAGAGAAACGACCTCAGATTTGGGCTTGTGTAAGAGTTTTGTGGAATTCAGTGACTGAAGGGCCCTGGACCAGTTCTTTGAATGAGAGTACTGGGGAGAAAAGGGGGCTTTGAGAAGTGATTACATGAATAATGAAATGAATTTTCTGTAATGTTCCTTAAGACACAATTAAGTGATTGCATTTATTTTTATTTGTGCAATGGACTGTGCTTTAATAAGTGCAAATCTCTGCAGAGCCTTGGTTGCTTGGGCCTCAGGATTTATAAAAGCTATGTGTTTTTTATTTGTTCTTAAAATGACATTTTCTTGATTTTAGTTATTTTCAGAATGTTGAGAGTGGGAATGAAAGGCAACTTTAGAATCAGAATTTGACAGTAGTAGGAAAAAAGTGATAATTATACTGACATGGTCAAATTCACAAAATGTTCTTAACCTTGTGGTACTTAATTTTGCATATTGACCAAAAAAGGCCTTAACATTCTTCTCAGCTTAACGTTAGATAGGTTGTTTAAGTTCCTCACCTTCCTTTTCTTAGAGCAATTAACATAGAGAACTTTTAACTTTCTAGCCTTTGACATGTAAATCTTTTAAAAACTCTTATAAGCTTTACAACCTAGGACTAAGTTTCTCCAGGATCCGGGAGCCACCCTTTTGAAATATAATCACCATAGAGATAATGCCCTGATCTCCCCGTCTCTAAGGGAAAGTAGGAGCCTAACTTTGGTGGGCACCTTACTCCAAGTTGTAAAACTCCCTCCTGTCATGAAGAAAGTCTATTTTTCCTTAGGGTAAAGCCAATTAACAAACACAGATGACTCGTGGATCCTTCTCGCCCTCATTTTTAAAAGATCGTCCACGCTTTGTCTTAGAGGAGTTCAGCTCAGACTGAGTTATGGCCTCTCCCCTATTTCAACAGCCTTGAACGAAGTCTACATTGCCTGATTAACTTTGTCCAGTGCATTTTTTACTTTAACAATATGAAGTGGCCCAAAATAAATAAATAAATAAATAAATAAATAAATAAATAAATAAATGAAAAAAAAACGTTAATAGCACTAGAAAAACTACAGGCAGAACCGTGTTACGTTTGACCTTTGCTTTATTATTATTGCATTCGCACAGCTTCAGTTGTTTACACTTCAAAACATAGAGTATGAGACATTTTGCATTTCTGTATTTCACTACACCACAGTCAGGATCTTTTGTGTCCCCAGCTTCCAGGAAGCAGGAAAATGCAATCTTGCTTGTTTTAGGAACTACCCTTCGTCTGCTAACAAGGGCTTATTTAAGAATCTTGGTTGTCCTAGTGCCAAAAAATGGCCAAAGACATAAGTACATTTCATGGAGAATGCTGTACTTTTGTTCCCAGGCTCTACATTGCTCAGGAACTCAGGTTTATACTATTTTTTTCCTCAGGAGTTACTCCTTCAGGTATATTAAGGATAGTAACTCACAGTAGACCCTCTCCTTCACCAGCAGCCTCCCTCCCCCACCCTCCAATTCTAAATGATAAGTAAAAGTGGAGTCCTAGACTCTGCTGCTGGAACCCATTTCTTCTCCCAATATTGGAAAGACCTCAAATTCATTCCCAGACCTACTATTTCCTCCTCCCACAGGAAGAAAGTACTTTATTTTGCATTCATTCCCTCAAGGCTAGAAAAACTTCCTCAAATTTATTCTACTTTCAAGTTCTAAAACACTGAAGAAATGTATCTACTTTTTTACCTGGAGGAGGGTTAAGGAAGATAAAGCGTCAGACCATCTGCCATGGTCTGAATGTTTGTGTCTCCCCAAAATTCATACATTGAAACCCAGTCCCCAGTGTGATGGTATTAGAAGGTGGAGCCTTTGGGAGAGGATTAGGTCAGGAAGGTGGAGCCCTCATGAATGAAACAGTACCCTTATAAAAGAGACCCCAGAGAGATAGCTGGCATGTTCTACCATGTGGGGACACAGCAAGGAGCCATTTAAGAACCAGAGAGAGAGCCCTCACCAGACCCTGAGTCTGTTGGCACCTTGAGCTTGGACTTCCCAGACTCCAGAACTGTGAGCAACAAATTTCTGTTGTTTATAAGCCGCCCATGTATTATATTTTTGTTGTAGCCGACCAAAAGAGCTAAGAACCATCTTTTTGAGACAGTATGTTGGTGTGTCATTTCAGGGATGAGGAAGGAGCTTCAACCTGGTTATATTTTGTTTTTAAGACACTCTAAACTGATGATACAATTTAATGATGAAAATAACAGCAAATACACATCTGACAGTTCTGTTGCAAACATTATCCTAAGGCTTCTCAGTTGTGTATTATAATAGAATTTAAAAAAAAACCAAACATAGTTTTAGAAGAGGGAGACACTCAGTGCATAAGAATATGGCTACTAATATATTCCTGCTCAGTGTTTGAAAAGTATTCATTTCCCCTGATATGCACATGATTTTCTACATGTCCAAAAACAACATTATTATTAAGTATGTTGATAGAAAAAAAACAATAATTTATGATCACCTCACTGTAATTGCATACAAAAATTAATATGTGGAAACCCACCAAGAAGAAGTTATGTATCTTCAAAGCGCAATTATTTTATTGAATTCTTAGAAGAAATTAAAATGAATATGGCATTTTATTACTGAATTATTCTGGTTTTAGATCATACCTAGATACCTTTAAAGGAAAGTCATTTCGTAGCTGTGTCTTCCAGAGGCTTTTCAAATATATATTTAGCTTGTGAGATTTTTCTTTTGAATAACCTTTCCCTTTTAACTGATGCCCTAGTCTCTGATTACCCACTCCCTGGCCTCTGCCCTTTTCTCAAATCATCTTACTCAGCGGTAATGAAACAGCAGCCACAGAACAGCAGTGTTGCAAGACTCAAATGCATTAGCCTATCACGGAAAAACACAAGACCTTTGTTTAGATACAAGTACGTACAATCTGAGTTCTCTTTTTTCCCCTGTCATGAACTCTATATATCTTGATGACTTTGAAAACTAAACTTTCTTCCCCTTTTCTTAGACTAGGATTCTAATTTAGGTATAATGGGATTTGAACCTCCCTCAAGCCTTTTAAAGTATTCAAGGGAGGCATAAAAGAAATAGCAGAGAGACATTCACTTTTTATTACTCTCTATGATGGGGATATTGTATTGCTCACATACTAATGTAAATTCCTCTAAAATATATAATTTCAACCCTTTTATTCTCTCACTATTCCCTTTCCACTATCAATTTGGATTTCTGAGACCTTACGCAACTAAACTAAATCGTTTCCTGAAGCTTATGTGCCTTGGTCTTTTGAGTACAGTAACTGCACAATCGACAGAAGTTACAACTAATAAATTTCTCTTTGTGACTCTTCCTGACAACCAGAAAAAAACAGTAATTTAACTTTTCTGGTTAAACTTGAACCAAGGCCTAAAAAGTAGATAAGTGACTCAAACTATTTATCTTACTACTCCTACCCTATAACCCTCACAGGGAAATGAAATATTGCCAGCATTCTAAAACTTGTTGAAAGGGAAGCATTCATATTTAGGAAAAAGTTACAGATAGAGATCATTAAAATTTAGAAACATTCCTTTTCAACTTCCGCATAACTTCTATCTTTATAGTTAGTCTTGCTCTGCTTAAAGCTATACTGAGGAATGTATTTTAAATTTAGAACCAATTTTACCCTTTCTTTTATAATTCAAAAAGTTGGAATATTTGTTTTAATAATTTCTGTAAAAACAAAATGCCATAGAATTTCATATTCAGGATATTAGTATATACCTCACTATCTTGATAGACTCTTTTAGAATCTTCTCACTCCTCACATAGAGAAACAGTGCATAGACATCCAGGACACAGAAGCGACTGTAACAATTATTTTGATAAGACATATATGAGATGGAAGATGAACATTATTTATGTTGACCATAGGGACAGCACAGTATAATTGAGTTATGATAACACTAACTCCTTCATCATGTGAACAGATGCTAAGAAGCAACATGTTCAATTACTATTTGAATACATTATCTCATTCTTTGCCCTTAATAAAATATCCTAGTGCCACAATTTCAAAATGAGTTGAAACTTTGATGTACTGCTGCCAACAGCCACAGAACTTTTAAAAGTCACTGTCTAGTTATTTTGCCTCTAACAAGGAAACACATTTGCTGAGAATTAGAATGAATTAATATTATACTTATCGAGACTATTCATGATAAAGCTGTCTCTTCAGGATCTTTATAAATGATCAACCTCTCCTGGATGTGATATTTTCTGCTAAATTCAGAAATAATCAGAAGAGACAATCTTTATCTCATTGATATCAATGCTGGTTTTAATGCCTACTACAGTACCTACAGACAACTAAACCACATTCTTACAATGTTTTAATGATGCCTACTATGGTACCTAAAAACAATCAACATTAGGAAAAAGTAACAGTTAAATAAATAGAAACCTGTACTTTGCACTATTAGAAAAATTTATGTTTTAAATAAAATCAGCATGTAAATTAAATAATGAATGCAATATGTGTTCTAAACCATGCTACAATTTAAAGATTTAAACAAATGTGTTGAGATGTAACTAATAGAAATACAATGAAGCAGTTCACATACTTGAAAAACCAAAAAACTTAATAAAAAATATATATGCAGATGACATTTCTTGACTAGTGATACAGAGAAATGTCCTATAAAAGTTGCATAGAGGCCTATGAACTTCAATAAATATTTAAAATCTATTCTTTACTGAGAATAGATCTTATCATAAATTTATCCATCTCTTTTATTGGCAGAGGAGAGAAGCAGTACAAATATCCTTGGAATGCTTTACCTTTTTAGCAGAGGGCAGCTGATACATCATGTAGAGAATTGTTCAATAGGTGCTCTGAGAAGACAAAATGTCCCTATTTCTTTGAGACTTTATTCACTAATATTTCAATTTGGCAAAGTGTGTCCATTTTTTTTTCTTATGTGATGGGAAGGGATTTAAGAACTTTATTTTATAAGTCAGGATCTCTATTTATACAGGAAAAGTACAATTACTGTCAGTAAAATGAAAGTCTTCTATATTCAGCTGGCAACCCTAAGAGGCAGTTCAGAGAGTTTCTTAAAGCAGAGAAAGGTTTAAAATTATGAAGTGATGGATATACTTTATCCAAATTCCTGCTGTCATATTTACTATTATCTTTAATATACCAACACACTGTTAATTGCCTAAGGAATAGAAAGTCCTTGGCTTATCTTGCTTTCTTGCCTGCATAGAAACCTCTTAAAACTATACTTTTCTTTTATCTGTTATGCCTCTAACATTTCTGTCATTAACACACACACACACACACACACACGCATATATACATACACACACACACACATATATATACACACACATACATATACTTACACATACATTTCTACGTTTGGGGCTTTGTTATACTCCAATTGCTTGGAGAAAAAAAAATCAAAGTTTTAACGCTTGAAAACTTTTGCCAAACTTTCTTTTTCCATATGCTCTACCATTAGGGATTTCTTTATTTTCAGGGACTCAAAAGTTTATGACACTCCAGCCCTGACCTGACATCATGCTGAAATTGTCAATAACCCACTTTTATTTCTACTGTTGCCCAAATCAACATGTCCAACATAAAATTTGTTTTGCCATCCCCCCAAATTCTAATACAAGTTTTAATTAATGGCTGTACCACATTTTAGTAATGCTAAGCTTTAAGCATTTTTGGCTCATTTTTTCTATCTTAAATTTTAGTCAGATTCCAAGTCATGTATAGTATACATTCAAAATGTCTTAGGCTTTTGCTCCCCACCTTACACTCCTACACTCGGTATCTTCTATCATGTACCATCTGTTCACTATAATGTTTCCTAAGTATTTTACAGCTGTCTTCCCTGACTTCAGTTCTTAATAAATGCAATAGCAAAATAAATCTTCCTAAACTAAAGATTCTGGTCATATGCCTGTGATTGCAAACCTTTCTTTTCGTTTTTCCTGTTTCTCTTTTTTTTTCTTTTTTTTTTTTTTTTTGAGATGGAGTCTGGCTCTGTTGCCCTTGCTGGAGTGCAGTGGTGCAATCTTGGCTCACTGCAACCTCCACCTCCTAGGTTCAAGCAATTCTCCTGCCTCAGCCTCCAGAGTACCTGGGTGGTTACAGGTGCCCACCCCCATACCTGGCTAATGTTTGTATTTTTAGTAGAGACAGGGTTTCACCATGTTGGCTAGGCTGATCTCGAACTTTACCTCAGGTGATCCGCCCACCTTGGCCTCCCAAAGTGCTGGGATTACAGGCATGAGCCACCACACCTGGCCTGTGATTGGAAACTTTTCTAGGGTACCATCACATATGGAATTAATTACAGCTTTCTCTACCTATCCTGTAAGTACTTTACCTGCACTATGGTCTCTTAGAAAGTTACTTAACTACTTAATCCCTTAGTTACTATTTGTAAAAGGGAATAATAATATGAAACTTTTAGACATGTTGAGAAGATTAAATGGCTCTCTCTCTCTCCCTCTTTATATATATCTAGATATATCTATCGATATATCTATTGATCGATAGATCTATATATGGACAGATTCTATATATCTAGATATATATCGATAGATATATATAGATATACATATCTATATATATGGATAGATCTATATATAGATAGATAGAGAGAGAGAGGGAGAGAGAGAGAGCCATTTAATCTTCTCAACATGTCTAAGACTTTCATATTATTATTCCCTTTTACAAATAGTAACTAAGGGATTAAGTAGTTAAGTAACTTTCTAAGAGACCATAGTGCAGGTAAGGTACTTACAGGATAGGTAGAGAAAGCTGTAATTAATTCCATATGCAGTGGTACCCTAGAAAAGTTTCCAATATATCTATATCTATATCCAATATATCTATATATATATATCTATATATCTATATATATATATAGAGAGAGAGAGGGAGAGAAAGAGGGAGAGAGAGCAAGAAGAGAGGAGCATTATAGGTACTCAAAAATTGACACTTTATTATCTACGTTTCTGACCTCACTTTTTAAAATAACTTATTCTTTTGATTTGTTTATAATTGTTATTACAAATAATTTTCAACATACATAAAAATTTTAAAAATAGTGCAATACATACCAGTAAACCTACAACCAAAATTAAATAACTGTTAACATTTTGCCATACATTTTGTATATATATGTTGTCTTAGTCTGTTTGGGCTGCTATAGCAAAACACCATAGACTGGTAGCTTATGAATAATAGAAATTCTTTTATTACAGATCTGGAGACAGGGAAGTCTAAGATCAAGGCGTCAGCAGACTCAGTGTCTGGTGAGGGCCCGCTTCTTCATAGATGGCCTTCTTTTCACTGTAACCTCTCATGATGACAGGAGCTCTCTCTGGTCTTTCATAGCACGAATTCCTTTCATGAGGGCTCTGCTCTCAAGACCTAATCATCTCCGAAAGGTCCCACCTCTTAATACCGTCACCTTGGGAGTTAGGATTTCAACATATGAATCAACGTATGAATTTTGAGTGGGCACATAAACATTCCATCCACTTTATATGTTAAAGTGCAAATGCATGCTTTTTGAACTGTTTCAAAACAAGCGGAAGACACTTTAATAAAGCAGATGATACTTTATCCTTAAATACTCTAACATCCATCTGTTATTAATAATCAGAATATTCTCCATGCTGCCTAGGCCATTATCACATCTAACAATATTAATCATAAATATTGAGTATTAGCTATTATCTAAGTCTTATCACAATCTCCCCAACTGTTCCTTTAATGCATTTCATAACTGTTTTGCCTTCAGTTTAGTGTTATTTTTTAACCAGGATGCAATTAAGTTTCATATGGTTGTTAGAAATGTTCTCTCTCTCTCTTAATTTAAAGGAGCTCTACTGGTTTTTTAAAAAAACGCAATGCTACTTTATTAAATATCTGAAATTATGGATTTTACCATTTGCTAACTCAGTTTTTCTAAACTCCATATTTCTGCCAAATTGGAAATTAGATCTAAGACCAAATTAAATCATGTTAGCCACTTTCGGTAAGCATCTTTCATGAGCTTTTCATAAAATATTACATCAAGACAAATATATCATGGTGTCTTAAAGGTAGTAATGCTAAATTTGACTGATGATTTAAGATGACCTCCATATCACTTTATTTTATAGTTTGGTAATTTTCTTTGCAATTAGAAAATATGCAGTGAATGATACTTTTACTATGTTGGTTTATGAAATAAAACATTTCTTCTAAAAGTTTCAGTATCCACTGAGGGTTCTGTAAAAATCAACTATTTAGTTATAAATTTTAAAAAAATGTCTAATTCTGTCATTTTCATACATAACAAAATGGGGTTTCTTTTTTCACCTCATCAAATCAATATGAACTACAATTTGTCTTAAAAAGAGAAGGTAAAAAATTATCTCCCTTTAATTACTAATGCTAAGAACAAGGAGTTGATATATACCTACTAGGTATACACAAAATTTAAAAGTAAAAAAAAAAATGACTATAAAGGAATAAGCAGTTGAAGTAATAGTAATTTTCAAAGATAGTAAAACTTTTTCCTCTTTTTATTTTAGTAACACTAAGAAATCAGGATTTTTCCCCCTTGCTGTTTTATATTTACTTATGCCCATTATTCTTTCTCATGCTCACATTATGTCATATTTGGCCACTGAGTCCATTCAGGCTGGCTCCTGTGTCCTTTTGTCACATCTCTACTAGCTTTTGAGTATCAAAAAGAGTCTGGCTTACATGTACTACTTTTTGTCCTCAAAATATATTGTACTTACTTACTATTTTTGATACTCAAAAGCTAGTAGAGATGTGACAAAAGGATACTGTGTTAAAAATCATTGAGAATACGCCAGGTGCGGTGGCTCACACCTGTAATCCCAGCACTGTGGGAGGCCAAGGTGGGCAGATCACCTGAGGTCCGGAGTTTGAGGACAGCCTGGCCAACATGGCGAAACCCCATCTCTACTAAAAATACAAACATTAGCTGGGCATGGTGGCACGTTCCTGTATTCCCAGCTACTTGGGAGGCTGAGACAGGAGAATCACTTGAACCCAGGAGGCGGAGGTTGCAGTGAACCAAGATAGGGTGACTGCACTCCAGCCTGGGCAACAGAGCGAGACTCCGTCTTAAAAACAGAAACAAAAAATAATTTGAAATATTTTTTTCACTCTGTAGTTTTGCTATGAACTTAATACAAGTTGTGTTTATTTGTTTAGTTTGTTTCCAATTTCACAATTCAAACATATCATTTTGAGGCCTGCACAGTGGCTCTCGCCTGTCATCCCAGCACTTTGGGAGGCCGAGGCGGGTGGATCAATTGAGGTCTGGTGTTCAAGACCAGCCTGGCCAACATGGTGAAACCCCGTCTCCACTAAAGACACAAAACAATTAGCCGGGTTTGGTGATAGGCGCCTGTAATCCCAGCTGCTCGGGAGGCTGAGGCAGAAGGATCCCTAGAACCTGGGAGGCAGAGGTTGCAATAAGCAAAGATTGTGCCACTGCACTCCAGCCTTGGCGATAGAGACTCCCTCTCAAAAAAAAAAAAAAACACTTTGATTTTTTAAAATGTGTTCAATATGTTATACACTTACATAATTTAAAGTTTATATATTCATAATCTATAAAAAGCTGTACTATAAAAAGTTACACTTTCATTTCTATCCTCTTCTCTGCAGTCTCTACCCCAACTTCACATCTTGTAGAGATTTCCCTCTTTAATTAGTTTCTGGTTTATCGTTCTGATGGTTCTTTTTTTTTATGGATGTATGAGTGTATTGTTGGGTATGTTTGTAAGTGTGTATGTGCATATGTGTGTGTTGCCCTTCCTTCCTTAGAAAAAAGGCTGCATAGCTTTTCTCGGGCACTTTATCTTTTTGGATATATATAGCCTAAGGATTATTCAAGTACTCCATAATCTTCCTTGTGCTTTTTACACCTCCTTATTACACCTTTATGTAGCTTTATTTTTTTCCCACCAAGTCAACTATTGGTAGTCATTTGGATTGTTTCCAATCTCTTACCATTATATATAATACTGCTGGGAAAAGTCTAATGCATACATTGATTCTATCTGTAGAACCGCATTTTCAGTATAGAGTCCTGGAAGTGGAACTATGAGTCAGTGGTTATTTAATGTGATCATGTTAAAAACATGACCAAATTTCCCTTGATATGATTAAATAAGTCTCCACACCCAACTGCAGTGTGTGGGAGGGCATTTACAGCTTTGACAACTGAGTGTGTTGTCATCATTTTGGTTATTTGCTGGAGATATAACTTTAAAAATATATTTTAATACCATTTTAATTATTTTTTCTTTATTATGAGTGAGATAAGCGTATTTTCACATGCTACACACATTTACTTTCTTTTTCTGAACATTTTATGCATGTATTGTAACCTTTTTATTCTACCAGAACTCTTTTTATATCCTAGAGATTAGCTCTTTGTCTTAAGTTACTTTCTCCCCTTATATAACTTCTAACTTTACTCTTATCTCTTCTACAACAGGTATCCTACTGTCCAGGCCAAATTTTTACATAGGGAAAATAAATTAGGTTCCACATGTGTCAAAATAAAATAATTCTTTTTTTGCATTAAAATAAAGGAATTATTTTTTAAACCTAGATGATGGAAAAAAAAACCTATTCAATAAATAAAACAGATAGTCCCTTAAACATAAAATAAAGAGGGTTTGGGAAAGACTATTTGTATGCCAAAAGTGAGTGATGAAGAAAGGAAAAGCTTAAGAAAGCAATGGGAACAGACTGCCTTAGTAGTAAAGTGGAGAGGGGTCCACCTCCAGAGTGCCAGCATGAGCTTCCCTGCTGATGCCATCCCCAGTGAAACGACCATAACTGGTAAAAACTATAACAAAATGATCATTTTATGTTCTACAGGCAGGAATACAACAAATAAGGAAACTTTTGTTTAAGAAAATGTACTAATTCAAATGAGTGCTGAGAGTCTGTGACACTTGAACCACAACCCATTAACCACAACTTCCAGCTGACTGTGTTGGAATCTCTACTTTCAGTGAATATGGCTGAGAAGATGAAGCTAACTCTCTTCTCAACTCCCAATCAACAGATATTGTATCTCACTGGAAATGGAAAGGCCACCAGCATTTATCTGCTTAAACGTTGAGTTGCAGAGGTTAAGATCCTGGTTAGTGTGACTAAGAGTTTACGGCTTCCTTTTCTACACCCAACCCCAACTCATAGGGCAGAATTATTTACCTTAGTTTCAGCAGGCCAAGAATATGTGGAGACCGATTACCTTAGCCCTAGTTTGCTTGTACTGTGGGGGTTTCACATGCAGAGAAGTTCAGAGGCTCTCACCTTCACGCAGGGCCTGGAGGAGTGACTCAGAGATTTTGCCCCGGGGAAAACACAGTCCATAAAACAGAGTTCCCAAACCCTCTCCAAGAAACTAATTTTTATTTAAAACGTAATGTGAGGTAGTGCAAAACCAAAGGCAATCTTGATGACAAAGAAAATTTTGGGGGTAAGTATTTAAGAGGAGGCTGGTATATATAGCAGAGCAACAAACTAATCCTTAGGCCAATTAGCTTACTGGAGAGAAATGGGGAAAAAAGCAGCTAAGAAGAGCCTGGGACAGGAGGAAAGTGTTAAAACATATCTCAAATACTAGCCTCACAAATGACTACTTTGGCTATTGGCACAGTAGTTTATCTCAGAATTACTGTCTTTAAAAATCTGGAGAAAATATAAAAACATAACTGAAGGCACCAGAACATGACCAAAGACAGGAAGAAACTGAAGAAGATTCAACCCTTGAAAGAAGAGAATTGCACCTAGTGAGTAGAATTTTTTATTGTATGACTATTGCTTGAGGGTAATTTCTGGTCCCCCGTGCCCTTTTGTGTTTGGGTTGCTAGAGATCAAGTACAAAGTTGCAATTTCACTGGCTTAATAGAGTGTGACAATAACTGAAAGAATAACTAAAAGATGAGGGGGGAAAATACTAGGGCAAATACTAGAAAGGAAACAGCTGTTTGATGTAGCTCAAAATGCTACAATTTAGGTAGTTAGGCAGTTAGACAGGCATGAGTGGGGCTGGCGAGGGCTCTTCCCTCGTCCACTAGGAATGTCAGGTGATGGTTCCGCAATGATCACCTGGCCTCGCTAAAAGTGATTCACGGCCGGGCGCGGTGGCTCAGGCCTGTAATCCCAACATTTTGGGAGGCTGAGGCGGGCGCATCACAAGGTCAGGATGTTGCGGGACAATCAAACAGGAGAGACCGACAAGGTTAAGGAGAGCGCTTTATTATTAAGGTGATCACCGGCTCAGTCAGACTAGGGTCCAATCACCTTTTAAGCTGTTTGTGGCGGGAGTTACGTGCTACGGGAAGAGTACTTGCAGAAGCGAGAACAAAGGCAGTTAATCATTCTTTTACATTTGTTACACCACATGTCTTACATCCTTGGGAATACATGTTTTTGCAACATTTGCTTATCATCCTTGTGACTTAACAGCTGCGCTAGGGAGAGAAGCAAGAACACGCCGTGCCTCAAGGAACGTGAAATGATAGAACACAGATAAGCCTCTCTGGGCACAGAGGAGAAACAAGCAGTTAATATTCTCTCAACCCAGGCCCCCGGGTGGGGCTATATTGCATTCTACCTTTAAGGAAAAGAATAAATTTCTTGGCTATTATAAAATTCATTAATTTTCCCTTCAAGGAGATCGAGACCATCCTGGCTAATAGGGTGAAATCCTGTCTCTACTAAAAATACAAAAACAAAATTAGCTGGGCGTGGTGGCGGGCGCCTGTAGTCCCAGCTACTCCGGAGGCTGAGGTGGGAGAATGGCGTGAACCTGGGAGGTGGAGTTTGCAGTGAGCCGAAATCGCGCCACTGTACTCCAGCCTGGGAGACAGAGGGAGACTCCATCTCAAAACAACAAAAACAACAACAACAACAACAAAAAGTGATTCACTGGCAGTGGCACCAGAGAGAGGCCAATTCCTGATGGTCCACACTGTTGCACGAAAGTGTTAATTGGATGCAGGCACCAGGGAGATGCAACTTCCTGGGCATGTTCATTAAGAGACAAAATGGCAGAGTATGACCTTCCAGGGGCAGTTCATCAGAAAAGTGAAGAAAGCCTCACATGGACATGCCTACAACTTCCTAAACACACTGTGCGCCCTCACCTTCCAAGGGTAAGGAGTACTTTGCATGCAGGCAGCCCACCCTAAGGGAGTAGTATTGAGAAAGAAGACAGTCTGTGAAGTCTTAGGATCAAGGTTGAACATCGCACTTGGCCTTCACATACCCACTTGGATTTCTTCCAAACGTACCTTCCTTTTTTTCCTGTTCTAAAGAACCTTTTTAAATAAACTTCCGCTCCTGCTCTGAAACTTGCCTGGGTCTCTGTTTCTGCCTTATGCTGCTCAGTTGACTTATTTCTTCTGAGAAGGCAAGAATTGAGGTTGCTTCCTGACCCATATGGATTCACAGCCAGTAACTCGGATACCTAACACCCCTAAGAAAAATCTTTACCCAGCTCCTTAACTAATACAGAAATAGTTCATGTATAGGAGAGAGCATGAGGATATAGAAGGAAGCAGTAGCCGCAAGGCTGAGAGAGCCCAGCAGAGACTTTAGCTGCTGTACACTCTAGGGAAGGCAGAGTTTAGAGTAGTAATCCTTCCATGTCATCTGTCTGCTAAAGGCAGAATCAACATTCTTTATAAAAAGAATCCAAAGGCTCAATAGCCTATCATTCACAATCCATTTTTTTAAACATGGAAAGAAATAAGAAAATGTGATCTACATGTTAATTTTGCACTGAGCTCATAAATGTTTTAGCCATTTCTGATAGCAGAGAAATAATTAAAAGGAGCCAATATCAATATATTTAAGGAGTTAAAAAAAAGGCTAGGGCCACATGAATTAACAGATGGGGAACATCCATGGATAAATAGAAACTATAACAAAGCACCAAATGAACATTTTAAAACTAAAATTTGTATTATCTGAAATGAAAAATTTATTGAATTTGCTTAATATTGGATTAGAGAAGGCAAAAGAAACTATCAGTGAAATTGAAGTCATATAAACAGTAATTTATAAAGTACTGAAAATACAGGAGAGAACAAGTTTGAAAATAAAATGGAGTCTAGATGTCCTAGGATAGGAGATAAAGAATAGGGCAGAAAATTGTACTTAATGGCTGACATTTTCCCAAACATGGTGAAAAGTGCAAATTACACACAAAAAGCTCAGCAAATCCAAAGAATTAATACAAAGTCAAAATTGCAACTTAGGCATGTTAGCTCAAGTTGCTCCAGTTTGTACAACCCCACCATTGTGCAGACCGTGGTGAGAGTGGAAAATTCCACTAGGGTTGGGACCATGAGAAACATCCTCCTGGACAAGTCCCAGGCCTAACCGCCTGACCACAGGAAATTCCTCCTTATCAGCAGCCAACCTCGCTGCCCACCCCATTTCACAGTAAGCCCAGAGCTTCCCCCGCCCTAGTCTGTAAACGAAGGCAGGCTCCTGCACTAGCTGGTGTCCGCCTCCGCAGGTCTTTGTTCAATAAACCTGTGTTGCTGTTGAGCTGCCAACTCTCTCACTCTTTCTTTTACCTTCACCTTCGTTTCAGAGCCTTACAATGCATATCTTAAGAGATAAAGAAAATATCTTAAAAGCAATACAATATCTTGTATTCTATACAAGAGAATAACTGTATGAATGGTATCTGACTTCCGGTCAGAGAAAACAAAAAGGTAGGCTGGAAGACAATGAAATGATATCTTTTAAGTGCTGAACAAATTACCATGAACAACAACAGAAATATAAAACCTGTCAGCTCAGAAATATGTTATCCATCAAAAATATTTTTAAAAAATGAAACCTAAGTAAAAAAAGATATTTCTGAATACAAACCTCTTATTTTCTTTGAGTTTCAATAATAATTCATTTCAGTGGACCTGCATTTCAGTAAATGCTAAAAAAAACACAACTGAAGAGAAATTATACTGAAAACTACACTAAGAATAAAGAGCACCAGATATGGCAAATTTGTAGGTAAAGTCTTATATTTTCTCCTTATTTTTTAAAATACACAATTTTTAAAGCAACAATTATAACACATAATTATAGGAAAAAAAATATATAGAGAGAGAGATATATATGTATATGAGTGGACACACACACATATACACTATAACATAATGGCCTGGTAAGGATATGGAAATATAGTATGACAAGTTTTTGACATTTTATAAGAAGTGTTACAATATTAATTCTAGGTGGACTGCAATAAATTAAAGATTCAATCCCAAGGACGTTAATAAAAATGGAATGTATAAAGATATAGTCAATAGAAAAATTAAAATAAGATATTAAAAACTTTCAGTTAACTGAAAAGAAGACAGAATAGGAAGTAAATTATCAATACCAGATGGGATAAATAGAAAATTAATAACATGATAAACCCAAATCCAACCATATAATTGTTATAATAAATTAAATGGCAATAAACTAATAAGTGCATATAAAAGGTAGACATTTTCCAAATAGATAAGTCTCAACTACAGACTAATATAAGAGATGTACTTTAAATATAAAATGTTGAAAGCAAAGGTAAAAGATGAAAAGCAGTATGTTGTGGAAACAAAAAGTATAAGAAATTTGGCCTGATTATAATAATATCAGACAGAAAAAGTCAAGATGGGAAACATTACCAGAGATAAAGAAGGGGATTTCATAATGGCAAAAGGAAAAATTTATCAGAAAAATATATTAATCCTAAATATGCACATACTTAAAAGAATAATTATAGTTGGACATTTCAAAGATTCTTTATAAATACTTGATTTAAAAAAAATCTCAAATTCTTATTAATGATACAGAAGTTGTGAATTAAATTATTAACCACTGCTATCATTTGTATGTTTGTCTCCTCCAAATTTGATCCGTATTGTTGAAGTTGGGATCTGATGGGAGGTGTTTGGGTCATGGGGGTAGATCCCTCATGAATAGACTAATGTTTTGGGGTGGTGGTGAGTGAGTTCCAACTCTGTAGTTTCCAGGAGAGCTGGTTGTTTAAGAGTCTGGCACCTCCAGTCTCTCTCTTGCTTCCTCTCTTGCCATGTGATCTCTGCACCTGCTGGCTCCCTTTCACATTCCTCCACGAGTGGAAACAGCCTGAGGCTTTTGCTAGAAGTTCAAGCTTCCAGCCAGCAGAATCTTCAGCTGCTGCTGGCATTTTTTTCTTTATAAATTATTCAGTTTCAGGTATGCCTTTATAGCAACACAAATTTACTTGTAAGAGACCCACACTCAGTATACTTCAGAATACACTATTTTTTCAAGTACCTTTGAATCATTATATATTTTCAGAATTGAATCAAAATACCCTATCTTTTCAACTACATTTGAATCATTAACCAAGGGTGATAACATGCTGGGCTACAGAATATATCTCAGTAAATTGTAAGAGTTTGAAATCTTATAGAGTATGTTTTCTGACCATGATAAACTCAATGGAAAGCAATAAAAATAAAGTATGGAAAAAAGTCAGACATATTTGGAAATTACACAATGCACTTCTAACTCACCCAAGAGCCAAATGAAAAAAACAAGAGAAATTAGAAAATACTTTTAACATTAAAAACATTAAAAAAAAACAGGAAACTGTTAAAGCAGTGCTTAGGGAAAAAATTACAGCTTTAATAGCAATTATGAGAAAATAAGAAAAATTTAAAGTTAATGACCTAAATTCCTATCTGTAAGAAGATAGAAATAAAAAGATAAATTTCAATAAAATAGAGGGAAGTAAATACACATCAGCAAATAAATTATTTAAATTTCTAATAAGAGAAATCTTTTATAAATAAAAATGTTGATTTTTTGAAAAGATAAATGAAATAAATAAATGCCTGGAAATACTGATGAAGTAAAAAGGAAATAAAACAAACATTACCAATATGATAAATGAAATAGAATTATATAAATATTAAAATGATTATAATAGGGTGAGCGCGGTGGCTCACGCGTGTTATCCCAGCTCTTTGGGAGGCCGAGGCGGGCGGATCACGAGGTCAGGAGATCGAGACCATCCTGGTTAATGCGGTAAAACCCCGTCTCTACTAAAAATACAAAAATTTAGCGGGCCATGGTGGCCGGCCCCTGTAGTCCCAGCTACTCGGGAGGCTGAGGCAGGAGAATGACATGAATCCAGGAAGCGGGAGCTTGCAGTGAGCCAAGATCGCACCACTGCACTCCAGCCTGGGCGACAGAGCAAGATTCCATCTAAATATATATATATATATATATGTGTGTATATATATATATATATATATGTGTGTATATATATATGTGTGTATATATATATGTGTATATATATATATACGTGTATATATATATATGTGTATATATATACGTGTATATATATATACACACACATATATATGTGTATATATATACACACATATATATACGTATATATATACACATATATATACATAGATATATAATTTTATTCTAAAAACCTAGAAAAACTGGATAAAATAAACTAATTCCTAGAAAAACACAATTTTCCTAAATGAGAAACATTTGAATAGAAAACCAGAGTAGTCCTCATATGTATTAAAGAAATTGGTTTCACTGGCATATTCTATGAAACATTTAACGTAGAAATAATGCTAATTCTACATAAACTCTCTAAAACTAGAGAGAAAGAAACACATTCCAAGTAACATTAAGTGGCCAAAGTAACTCTGATACTGAAATCTGACAAATATATTTTAAGAAAATATGATTACAAACCAATATTTCTCATGAACATGATTGTAAAAATTATTATATTAGAAAATTAAATCAAGTAATATGTTACAAAAATAACATATTTGTATTAATAGATGCATTGGAAGAATGCATGAGAGTTTAAATTGTTTAAAAGTCATGCATCAATACCTAATTCATTGAGAGTTTTTAGCATGAAGGGCTGTTGAATTTTGTTGAAGGCCTTTTCTGCATCTATTGAGATAATCATGTGGTTTTTGTCATTGGTTCTATTTATATGATGGATTACATTTATTGATTTGCATATGTTGAACCAGCCTTACATCCCAGGGATGAAGCCAACTTGATTATGGTGGATAAACTTTTTGATATGCGGCTGGATTCGGTTTGCCAGTATTTTATTGAGGATTTTTGCATCAATGTTCATCAGGGATATTAGTCTAAAATTCTCTTTTTTTGTTGTGTCTCTGCCACGCTTTGTTATCAGCATGATGCTGGCCTCATAAAATGAGTTAGGGAGGATTCCCTTTTTTTCTATTGATTGGAATAGTTTCAGAAGGAACGGTACCATCTCCTCTTTGTACCTCTGGTAGAATTCGGCAGTGAATCAGTCTGGTCCTGGAATTTTTTTTGGTTGGTAGGCTCTTAATTATTGCCTCAATTTCAGAGCCTGTTATTATTGGTCTGTTCAGGGATTCAACTTCTTCTTTGTTTAGTCTTTGCAGGGTGTATGTGTCCAGGAATTTATCAATTTCTTCTAGATTTTCTAGTTTATTTGTGTAGAGGTGTTTATAGTATTCTCTAATGGTAGTTTGTATCTCTGTGGGATCGGTGGTGGTATCCCCTTTATCATTTTTTATTGTGTCTATTTGATTCTTCTCTCTTTTCTTCTTTATTAGTCTTGCTAGCGGTCAATCAATCTTGTGGATCTTTTCAAAAAAACAGCTCCCGGATTCATTGATTTTTTTAATGGTTTTCTGTGTCTCTATCTCCTTCAGTTCTGCTTTGATCTTAGTTATTTCTTTCCTTCTGCTAGCTTTTGAATGTGTTTGCTCTTGCTTATCTAGTTCTTTTAATTGTGATGTTAGGGTGTCAATTTTAGATCTTCCTGCTTTCTCTTATGGGCATTTAGTGCTATAAATTTCCCTCTACACACTGCTTTGAATGTGTCCCAGAGATTCTGGAATGTTGTGTCTTTGTTCTCATTGGTTTCAAAGAACATCTTTATTTCTGCCTTCATTTTGTTATGTACCCAGTAGTCATTCAGGAGCAGGTTGTTCAGTTTCCATGTAATTGAGTGGCTTTGAGTGAGTTTCTTAATCCTGAGTTCTAGTTTGATTGCACTGTGGTCTGAGAGACAGTTTGTTATAATTTCTGTTCTTTTGCATTTGCTGAGGAGTGCTTTACTTCCAACCCTGTGGTCAATTTTAGAGTAAGTGCAGTGTGGTGCTGAGAAGAATGAATATTCTGTTGATTTGGGGTGGAGAGTTCTGGAGATGTCTATTAGGTCCGCTTGGTGCAGAGCTGAGTTCAATTCCTGGATATCCTTGTTAACTTTCTGTCTCGTGGATATGTCTAATGTTGACAGTGGGGTGTTAAAATCTCCCATTATGACAAACCCACAGCCAATATCATACTGAATGGACAAAAACTGGAAGCATTCCCTTTGAAAACTGGCACAAGACAGTGATGCCCTCTCTCACCACTCCTATTCAACATAGTGTTGGAGGTTCTGGCCAGGGCAATCAGGCAGGAGAAGGAAATAAAGGGCATTCAATTAGGAAAAGAGGAAGTCAAATTGTCCCTGTTTGCAGATGACATGATTGTATATTTAAAAAACCCCATCGTCTCAGCCCAAAATCTACTTAAGCTGATAAGCAACTTCAGCAAAGTCTCAGGATACAAAATCAATGTGCAAAAATCACAAGCATTCCTATACACTAATAACAGACAAACAGAGAGCCAAATCATGAGTGAACTCCCATTCACAATTGCTTCAAAGAGAATAAAATACCTGGGAATCCAACTTGCAAGGGATGTGAAGGACCTCTTCAAGGAGAACTACAAACCACTGCTCAATGAAGTAAAAGAGGACACAAACAAATGGAAGAACATTCCATGCTCTCAGATAGGAAGAATCAATATCATGAAAATGGCCATACTGCCCAAGGTAATTTATACATTCAATGCCATCCCCATCAAGCTACCAATGACTTTCTTCACAGAACTGGAAAAAAAAAAACTACTTTAAAGTTCATATGGAACCAAAGAAGAGCCCGCATTGCCAAGACAATCCTAAGCCAAAAGAACAAAGCTGGAGGCATCACACTACCTGACTTCACACTATACTACAAGGCTACAGTAACCAAAACAGCATGGTACTGGTACCAAAACAGAGATATAGGGCAATGGAACAGAAGAGAGCCCTCAGAAATAATACTACACACCTAGAACCATCTGATCTTTGACAAACCTGACAAAAACAAGCAATGGGGAAAGGATTCCCTATTTAATAAATGGTGCTGGGAAAACTGGCTAGCCATATGTAGAAAGCTGAGACTGGATCCCTTCCTTACACCTTATGCAAAAATCAATTCAAGATGGATTAAAGACCTAAATGTTAGACCTAAAACCATAAAAACGCTGGAAGAAAACCTAAGCAATACCATTCAGGACACAGGCATGGACAAGGACTTCACGTCTAAAACACCAAAAGCAATGGCAACAGAAGCCAAAATTGACAAATGGGATCTAATTAAACTAAAGAGCTTCTGCACAGTAAAAGAAACTACCATCAGAGTGAACAGGCAACCTACAGAATGGGAGAAAATTTTTGCAATCTACTCATCTGTCAAAGGGCTAATATCCAGAATCTACAAAGAACTCAAACAAATTTACAAGAAAAAAACAAACAACCCCATCAAAAAGTGGGCGAAGGATATGAACAGACACTTCTCGAAAGAAGACATTTATGCAGCCAACAAACACATGAAAAAATGCTCATCATCACTGACCATCAGAGAAATGCAAATCAAAACCACGACGAGATACCATCTCACACCAGTTAGAATGGTGATCATTAAAAAGTCAGGAAACAACAGGTGCTGGAGAGGATGTCGAGAAATTGGAACGCTTTTACACTGTTGGTGGGAGTGTAAACTAGTTCAACCATCGTGGAAGACAGTGTGGCGATTCCTCAAGGATCTATAACTAGAAATACCATTTGACCCAAAGATCCTATTATTGGGTATATACCCAAAGGATTATAAATCATGCCACTATAAAGACACAGGCATGCGCTTGTTTATTGCGGCACTATTCATGATAGCAAAGACTTGGAATCAACCCAAATGTCCATCAATGATAGACTGGATTAAGAAAATGTGTCACAAATATACAACATGGAATACTATGCAGCCATAAAAAGGATGAGTTTATGTCCTTTGTAGGGACATGGATGTAGCTGGAATCCATCATTCTGAGCATACTCGCGCAAGGACAGAAAACCAAACACCGCATGTTCACACTCATAGGCGGGAATTGAATAATGAGAACACTTGGACAAAGGATGGGGAACATCACACACTGGGGCCTGTCCTGGGGTGGGGGGAGCGGGGAGGGATAGCATTAGGAGATATACCTAATGTAAATGATGCATTAATGGGTGCAGCACACCAACATGGCACATGTATACATATGTAGCAAACCTGCATGTTGTGCACATGTACTCTAGAACTTAAGGTATAATAATAATAAATAATAAAAATAATAAAAAGTAAAAGTCATGCATATATAATATTAAAAGAGGAAAATATAAATATATCATTACCTCAATAAATTTAAAAAATCATTTGAAAATTTTATCATCCATTCATGATTTAAATAACTATTAGCAAATTACAAATAAAAATAAACTATTTCAGTCTAATAAAGGGCAATGATTAAAAAGTACGCATGTAACATTAGATTTCATAGTGAAATATTAACTATGCAGTCTTTAAGGTCACGAACAGGGCATGGATGACTACTCTCCATCTTCTATTTAACATGTTACAAGTCTTAGTCAGTATAAACCACAAAGTTTGGATAAAAAGAAATAGAAATGCGTCTATACACAGAGAACAAGATTTACTTCCCAGAAGTTTTATGGAACCTACAGAACAGCTAATAATAACTAATGAATAGAGTATTTTTCAGAATACAGTATATATGTACATATAGTCAATGAATTTTTATATGCAACAGAAACAGTTTGGAAAATAAATTTTAAAAATTTCAGTTTCAACTTCTCTTTAAGATACAGCAGTTACATGTGCAGATTTGTTACATGGGAATATATGCTGCTGAGCTTTGGAGTATGGATCCTGTCACCCAGGTAGTGAGCATAGTACCCTATAGGTCATTTTTTTAGCCCTCCCACCTTCCTCCATCCTCTAGTAACCTACAGTGTTTATTATTCTCATATATATGTCAATGTGTGTTCAATGTTTAGCTCCCTTTTGTAAGTGAGAACATGCAGTATTTGGTTTTCTGTTTCTGCATTAATTCGCTTCTGGTTATAGCCTCCAGCTCCATCCATCTTGCTGCAAAGGACATGATTTCATTCTTTTATATGGTAGCATAGTATTCCAAGTGTATATGTATCACATTTTCTTTATCCAATCTATAATTGATGGGCACCTGGATTGGTTTCACGTTTTTGTTCTTGTGAATAGCACAGTGACAAACACACGAGTCCATGTGTCTTTTTGGTAGACCAATTTATTTTCTTGTGGATATATACCCAGTAATGAGATTGCTGGATTGTATGGTAGCTCTACTTGATGTTCTCTGAGAAATATCCACACTGCTTTCTACAGTGACTGGACTAATTTTATATTCTCATCACCAGTAAATAAGTGTTCCCTTTTCTCCATAGCCTCACTAGCATCTGTTGTTTTCTGACATTTTAATAATAGCCATTCTAATGTGAGATAATATCTCACTGTGGTTTTGATTTGCATTTCTCTGATGTTTAGTGATGCTAAGCATTTTATCTTATGTCTGTAGGCCACTTGTATGCTTTCTTTGGAGAAGTGTCTGTTCATGTCCTTTGCCCATTTTTTAACGGGGTTATTAGTTAAATTCTCAATATAAGACATTTGTCAGATGGATAGTTTGTGAACATCTTCTCCCATTTTGTAGGTTATCTGTTTATACTGTTTATATCTTTTGCTGCAAAGAAGCTCTTTAGTTTAATTCACTTGCGCTTATCTAGATATTTTTGTTTTCATTGCAATTGCTTTTGGAGACTTAGCCAAAAATTCTTTGCCAAGGTTAATGTTCAGAAGAGTACTTTCTAGGTTGTCTTCCAGGATTTTTATATTTTGAGGTCTTACATTGAAATAATTTTTGACTCATGATTTAAAAGAACTATTAGCAGAGGTAATTTTTGAATATGCTGAATGGTAGGCATCCAGCTTCAGCCTACTACATATGGCTATCCAGTTATCCCAGCATCATTTATTGAATAAGGAGCCCTTTCTCCATTGCTTGTTTTTGTCTACCTCATCGAAGATCAGATGGTTGATAAGTTGGTGGCTTTATTTCTGAGTTTTCTATTCTTTTCTATTGATCTATATGTCCGTTTTCATTCTAGTACCAAGCTGTTTTGGTTACAGCTGCTCTGTAGTACAGCTTGAAGTTCAGGAGTATGATGATGCCTCTGGCTTTATTATTTTGCTTGGGATTGGTTTGGCTGCTTGGGCTTTTTTTTTTTTTTTTTTTTTTGGTTCCAGAGGAATTTTAGAATTTTTTTTTTCTAATTCTGTGGAGAATATTGTTTATGATTTGATAGGAATATCTTTTTTAAAAAGCACAAGTATGAATAAATTTAAGAAAAATGTAAATTAGTTCTACTCTAGAAACTACAGAATAATGCAGATAGAAATTTTTAAAAAGTTAGGTAAATTTAAAATATTATCATGTTCGTTAATTGAAAGACTTAATTTTTTTCATTTTAATTCTTCCCAATTGATTCAGTCCAAATGTCTTGATCTTAATTTCATCATGTTTTTAAAAATAGAAATTGGCAAGCAAATTCTAAAATTGATCTGGAAAAATCGAAATATTTCTAAAAATTTATAATAATGTTAGAGGATACACATTTGCTAATTTTATGATTTATTATAAAGTACTGTAATGAAAATGAGCTATTGTGATAAAGGTATGCACATAGATTACTGCAACAGAATAGAGTTCAGAAATAAACCTACACTTAAATGGTCAATTGAGCATCATTTACAGGGGTGCCAAAGTAATTCAATAGTGAATGTAAAGGCTTGCTGCCAGATTGTGATGAGACAACTAAGTATCACTATGGAGGAAAAAATGAATTTTGAATCCTCACATCATAGGTAAAATTGAATTCAAAATTAATAGACCCAAATGTATTTTTTAATGGAAAAGACAATAAAAATGCCTTCATGTCTTGAGGGTTGGGAACGTTCTTAGGTCACAAATAGCGTAGCCATTAATTTTTTTAAAAAATCAATAAAGAAGGCTTTATAAAAATTAAGATACTCTCTTCATTAAAAATGGAAGTTAAAAAAATAAGACTTAGATGGGGGAGAAGTAGCCTCCAAACATACATCAAACTAAAGAATTATACTCATACATATATTTGTTCACATATATGTATTACATTTATACATAAGTGATGAAATGATTAAAAGGCAATCAATCCTATCTTTTAAAAAATATAAGAAGGCTTAAATGGGAACATAATAATTACTCAAAAATCTTACAGATTCACATCAATGAATAAGGAGAAAAAACTGATATAATCTTGTTTTGATTTTTTTCTCTATACAAAATTTATTGTTCAAACTTAAAAGTTAAATGATAGTAGCTGAAAATTAAAATTGAAAAATAAATCGTTGTTGGGTTTTTTCCCCAAGATGGTGGAATAGAGGCTTTGCCAGCATGACTTATTTACCTGTAAATAGTAAAACAGTATATAGAGATTCACATTACGAACTTTTATCCATGAAGGAACATGGGGTCACAACATAAAAGTTAAAAAACCATTGAATGCTTTTAAAAATAAGGCAGAAAACAGCTCACATGGCATGTACAGCAGAAGATTGAGAGTAAATTCTCAATGCATAAGAAGGAAAAAGAATGCCTTTGCAATGCACATTCCCACTGGGAAGCTGGGCAACTCAGGCCACAGGGGAACTCCTTGACCCTGCTAAGCCCTCGGTCTGACCTGGGGAGCAATCAGGAGACTGTGAGGAGGATTGATACTAGGAAGTGCCCTGCATGCATTCCCAGACCCACATGCCAATAGAAGACCATTCTTTATCCTTTAATTCATAGGTGACTGCACAGGAAGCTGCCAGCAAGCACAGGCTGGAGTCACTGGTTTGGAGACTAACTGGATGGGAATTTGTGATGTAGTCTCAAGCTGGGGAGAAGCCTTCATAACTAGAACTGAGAGGTAAACGTAGCATAAGCTCCAGCGATGGACATGGGAGTTGGATGTCCCCACTTTTGTGAGACTGGATCAGGAGAAGTTTAGCCTGAGAACTGCAGTTTTGACTCAGGCAGCAAATTTTTTGGCCTGGTGCAGTTTCACGGTCTGAAGACAAACTGCTTGTGACTTGGCTAACTGGTCATTCTTGCTGCCAGTGTCAGGCTGTGGGAGAGAGCCCCACTGGGTCAGGAGCAGGAGAGTAAAGCAGGCTACACTACCACCTGCTAGTCTCTGGAGCCTGAGCTTCCCCTCTTTCCCCATGCTGCATCTTTGGTTCATCAGTAGTTGCTGTGCTCTTCTATGGAACATTATTCTAGGGGCCTGAGAACTGCCTTCCAACCACTTGGAAGGCTGCCACTTGTCCCCACTATTGGCCATCTCAGCCCCATCCAACCCACCCTAGAGGCAGAGCATAGGACTGGGACCACTGAGAGTTCCAGGGCCTAAACCATAGCCTGGGACACTCAGGTACTTCTCATGGCTAACAAAGGGCAAGCATAAGCCCTATTGCCACCAATGCAGCTGACTCCCACCTGAAAGCACAACCTTCTTGCCTGGAGGTCAACTTGCACAGCTCATTACAACATCTGCTGATACCAATTCATAACATTTGCAAAGGAGACACCCTTTGCGTGATCTTCTGCTACCTTCATTGCCCATTGCACCCCAGCTACTGAGAAGGCCTTCAGCTCACTCATCCTCCCAGTACATTGCTATTACAACTGGCATTTGAGGAAGCCACCACACTAAGGCTAATTATAACCAAGGAAATCATACAGAGTATACACCACTGAATGCATCCAGAAGAAATGCCAAATAATCATACTTTTTTTCTTTTAACTTTTTTTTTTTTTTTGAGAAGGAGTCTAGCTCTGTCACCCAGGCTGGAGTGCAGTGGCATGATCTTAGCTCACTGCAACCTCCTTCTCCCGGGTTCAAGTGATTCTCCTGCATCAGCCTCACAAGTAGCTGGGTTTACAGGCATGCACCACCATGCCCGGCTAATTTTTGTATTTTTAGTAGAGATGGGGTTTCACTATGTTGGCCATGCTGGTCTTGAACTCCTGACCTCATACTTAATATATATCATAGACACAGCCTCACATAAAAAAGTGCCATCCCAATGAAAAGTAAATACAAAAGTAAGAAGTGACTCTTCCCACATATGCAAATAAATCAATGTCATAATACTGGAAGTATTTTTTTTAAAGGTACTATTACACCTCTAAGGAACACAGTTTTCTGTAGCAATGGATACCAAACAAAAAGAAATATTCAAAATGCCAGATAAAAAATTCAAAATGCTGATTTAAAAGATATTCAAAAAGATACAAGATAAATCTGAAAACCCATACAAAGAAATCAGAAAATCAATTCAGGATATGAATGAGAAATGTACCAAAGAGATAGATATCTTTTAAAAAGATAAACAAAACTTCTGGAAATAAAAAATTTGTTGAAAGAATTACAAAATACATTTGAAAGCTTCAACAGTAGAATAGACCGAGCACAAGAAAGAATCTCAGAATGTGAAAACAAGTCTTTTGACTTTATCCAATGAGACAAAATGAAGAAAAAAGAATTTTAAAGAATAAACAAAGCCTTTGAGAAGTATGGAACTACATGAAATGAAGTAAATATATGAATCATATGTATTCCAGAGGGAGAAGAAATGAAACATCTGGAAAATCTATTTAAGAAAAAGCTTTCTTAGTCTAGCATGAGATTTAGACATCCAGATACAAGAGTCCCCCAAAATTCCAGCAAAGTATATTGCAAGAAGGACCTCACCATGACATGTAGCCATTAGACTCTCTAAAGTCAATATGTTGGAAAAAAATTTCTAAAACCAGAAAGAGAAAAGCGTCTCATTGCCTACAAAAGAAACCCCATCAGACTAACAGCAGACTCTTCAGCAGAAGCCATACTGGCCAGAAATAATTATATTTTCAAAGTGCTTAAAGAAAAAAACTGTCAACTATATATTCTGCCAGAATAACCTTCATGAAAAAAAGAAGAAATAATGTGTTGGGCGACAAGCAAATGCTAAGGAAATTTGTCACCATGAGACTGGTCCTACAAGAAATGCCCAAAGGTGTTTTAAATATAGAAATAAAAAGTTGATACCAGCCATCATAAAAACACAAAATTATAAAACTTACAAGTTATATAAAGCAATTACACAAAGGAGGAAGATAAATGGCAACATGAGAAAATGCTATCAAACCACAGACAAACAGAGGAAAAAGAGAAACAGACTCAACAAAGCAACTAAATAATGCTTAACATTACAACAGGAACAAATCCTGTCAGAACTAACCTTGAATATAACTGGATTTAATGCTCCACTTAAAAATATAGTTCGGCAGTGTGGATTTAAAAAAAACATGAATCAACTACATGCTGCTTACAAGAAACTCAGCTTATTGGTAACAGTATTTATAAATTGAAGGTAGAGCAGTAGAAAAAGAGATTCCACACAAATGAAAACTAAAAGAAGCTATACTTATATCAGATAAAACAGACTTAAAATCAAAAACAGTAAAAAAAGACAAAAAGGTCATTATATAATGATAAAGGGATCAATATAACAACCCAAAATACATATGCACCCCAAACTGGAGAACCCACATTCGTAAAACAAATATTATTAGACCTAAGGAAAGGGAGAGACAGCAATGCAATCATATTGGGTGACTTCAATACCCCACTCATAGCACTGGACATGTCATTGAGATAGAAAATCAGCAAAGAATCACTTAACACTTTAACAGGACTTTAGACCAAATAAACCTAACAGACATTTACAGAACATTCTACTTTACAAAAGCAGAATATGCATTGTCCTCAGTGCATGGAATATTCTCCAAGAGAGGCCATATGTTAATTAACAAAACCAGTCTCAATAAATTGCAGGCCAGACACGGTGGCTCATGCCTGTAATCCCAGCACTTTGGGTGGCTGAGGCAGGTGGATCATGAGGTCAAGAGATTGAGACCAACCTGGCTAACACTGTGAAACCCCATCTCTACTAAAAATATAAAAATTAGCTAGGCATGGTGGCACGCACCTGTAGTCCCAGCTACTCAGGCGGCTGAGGCAGGATAATCACTTGAACCTGGGAGGCTGAGGTTGCAGTGAGCTGAGATTGTACCACTGCACTCCAGCCTGATGACAGAACAAGACTCCGTCTCAAAACAAACAAACAAAAAAAAGCAAAAAAAATCAAAATTAGATTAAATAACTTCTTGAAATACAGCAGTATAAAACTAGAAATCACTTCCAAGAGAAACTCTTGAAACTATAAAAATACATGGAAATTAAACAACATACTACTGTTGTTGTGTCAACAACACAATTAAGAAGCAAAATTTTAAACATTTTGAAACAATTGAAAATGGAAATAAAACGTACCAAAACCTTTGGGATATAGCAAAAGCAGTGCTAAGAGAGAAGTTTATTGCATTAAATACCTACATGAAAGAAATAGATTATAAATTAACAACCTGCCATTACCTCAATGAACTAAAAAAATAGGAACAAATAAAATCCAAAACTACTAGAAGAAGAGAATAACCAAGATCAAAACAGAACTAAAGGAAATTGAGAATAAAATATAAGGGCTCAACAAAATAAAAAATTGGTTGTTAAAAATAAACAAAATTAAAAGACCATCAGTTGGACTAACCAAGAAAAGAAGAGGGAAGATTTAACAACAAAAGCAAAAATGGACAAGTGGGATCTAATTAAATTTAAGGGCTTCTACACAGCAGCAGAAATTATAAATGGAGTAAATAGACAACCTATGGAATGGGAGAAAATATTTGGAAACTATGTATCTGACAAAGGTCTAATATGGACCGTCTATAAGAAACTTAAATTTACAAGAGAAAAACAATCTCATTAAAAAGTAGGCAAAGGACATGAACCGACTCTTTTCAAAAGATTATAAACATGTGGCAAACAAGCATATAAAAAAAGCTCAATATCAATCATCATCAGAGAAATGCAAATCAAAACCACATTAAGATACCATCTTACACCAGTCAGAATAGCTATTATTAAAAAGTCACAAAATAACATGCTGGCAAGGTTGCCAAGAAAAGAACATACCTATACACTATTGGTGGGAGTTAAAATTAGTTCAACCATTGTAGAAAGTGGTATGGTGATTCCTCAAAGAGCTAAAAGCAGAACTATGATTCAACCCAGCAGTCCCATTATTAGGTATATGCCCAGAGGAATATAAATCATTCTACCATAAAGACACATGCACGTGAATGTTCACTGCAGCTCTATTCACAAAAGCAAAGATTAATCAACTTAAATGCCCATCAATGACAGATCGGATAAAGAAAATGTGGTACATATATACCATAGAATATTATGCAGCCATAAAAAAAGAACAAGATCATGTCTTTTGTGGGAACATGGGTGGAGCTGGAGGCTTATTATACTTAGCAAACTAACACAGGAACCGAAAACCAAATACCACATGTTCTTTCTTACAAGTGGGAATTAAATGATGATAACTTATGAACACAAAGAAGGAAACAACAGTCATGGGAGTCTACTTGAGGGTGGAGCATGGGAGCAGACAGTGGAGCAGAAAAGATAACTATTGGGTACTGGGCTGAATACCTGGGTGATAAAATAATTGGTACAAAAAATCCCCATTACACAAGTTTATCTATGTAACAAACATTCATATGTACCCCCAAACTTAAAATAAAAGTTAATTAAATGAGAAATAGAAAGGGGTCTCCTTTACAGTTGATACCACAGAAATTCAAAGGATCATCAGAGACTACTGTGAACAACTATATATACCCACAAATCAGAAAACCTAAATAAAGTGGATAAATTTCTGGGAACATACAACTCCCAAGATTCATGCAGGAAGAAATAGAAATCCTGAATAGATCAATAACAAGTAATGACACTGAATTAGCAATAAAAAATCTCCCAACCAAAAATTCCCAAGACTGGTCAAATTCACAGATGAATTCTATCAAATCTACAAAGAAAAACTGGTACCAAGCCTCCAGAAACTCTTCAAGAAATTCGAAGAGAAGGGAATCCTCCATAACCCATTTTACAAACCCAGTATTTTGATGTCAAGGCCGGAAAGGGACACAACACTAACAAACAAAAGTAAACTACATACCCATATCTCTGATAGATATAGATGCAAAAATCCCCCATATCTCTGATAAATATAGGTGTAAAAATCCCCACCAAAAAACTAGTAAATTGAATCCAACAGCACATCAAAAAGATAATATACCATAATCAAGTGGGTTTTATTCCAGGGAACCAAGGATGGGTCAATATACACAAATCAATAAATGTGATTCCCCACATAAACGGAATTAAAATTTAAAACCATATAATCATCTAAATAGATGCAGAACAAGCATTTGATGAAATGGAGTATCTCTTCATGACACAAACCCTCAACAAACCAGACATCAAAATAACATACCTGAAAATAATAAAAGCCATATAAGGCAAACCCACAACCCACATCATACTAAATGAAGAAAAAGTTAAAGAATTTATCCTAAGAACTGGAACAAGACAAAGATGCATACTTTCACCATTTCTAGTCACCATAGAACTAGAAGTCTTAGCCAGAGCAATCAGGCAATAGAAAGAAATAAAAGGCATCCAGATTGGAAAAGAGGAAGTCAAATTATCTGTTAGTTGACAATATATTCTTATACCTAGGAAAGGCTAAAGACTCCTGCAAAAGCTTTCTAGATTTGATACATGACTTTAATAATGTTCCCAAATGAAAATCAACAAAAATATCAGTAGCCTTTCTATATACAAATGATGACAAAGAGATACAAATAAATAAGTCAATTATGTTTATGATAACTAAAATATTAAAGTAACTAGGAATATATTTAACCCTGGAGGGGAATTATCTCTATAAGGAAAATTACATTACACTGATGAAACAAATCATAGATGATTCAAACAAATGAAAAAAACATCCCATGATCATGGATTGCAAAAGTTAATGTTGTTAACGTGGCCACACTATCCAAAGCAAAGTACAGATTTATGACATTCCTTTCAAAATATCATCATCACGTTTTACAGAATAAAAACAATTCTAAAATTCATATGGAACCAAAACAGAGCCCGAGTAAGCCAATGAAATTCTAAGCAAAAAGAATAAAGTTGGAGACATCATATTAGTTGACTTCAAATTATACTACAAGGCTATAGTAACCCAAACAACATGATCCTGGTGTAAACCTAGACCTATAGATCAATGAAACAGAATAAAGAACCCAGAAATAAAGTCACGTAACTATAGTCCATTGATATTTGACAAAGCTGATGAAAACATACACTGGAAAAAGGATACCCTATTCAATAAATGGTGCTGGCCGAACTGGATTGCCATATGCCGAATAACATAACTGGATCCTTATCTCTCATTATGTACAAAAATTAACTTAAGATTAATTAAAGATTTAAATGTAAGACTTGAAGCCATAAAAATACTAAAAGAAAACTTAAAAGAAATCTTGGATATTTGCCTAGGCAAAGAATTCAAAAGCAAATGCAACAACAACAAGAAAATAGATAAATGAGACTTAAACTAAAATAATCAACAGGGTCAACAGACAACTTGCAGAATGGGAGAAACTATTTGCATACTATGCAACTGAATAGAGACTAATATCCAGAATCTACCAAAAGGAAAAAAACCATTATAAAAAGATATCTGTACTTGTATGTTTATTGCAGCACTATTCACATGCCTTTGGTATTTTAATACCAAATTCAAAACATGTATAGAACTGGAGGCCTTATCTTAAGCAGAACAACTTAGAAAATCAAATACTGCAGGTTCTCACTTAAATTGTGAACTAAAGAATGTGTACATATGGACATAAAGTGTCCACAATAGACACTGGAGTCTCAGAAGGGTCAGAGGTGGGTGAGGGATGAGAAATTACGTAATAGGTACAATGTAAGTTATTCAGGTAACGGGTACAGTAAAAGCCCAGACTTCACTATACAATATATCCATGTCACAAAGCTGCTCTCACAGCCCTTAAATTTATTCAAATAAAAAATAAATTGAAAAAAATAAACTCAAAAATTAAAAGAGCAGAAGTATATAATAACTTTAAAATAGTCTGGTTTTTTTTGAATTTGCTTTGCAATTTACAATAATTATTTTGAGAATGGAGTGCATATTATGTGTTAACTATTAAAATAAAATGCAGTAAATTTTACCCTTGTGCTATTAGTCATAAAATGCCTTTTTTTTTCTCATTGGTTTTCAATAACAAAAAACCTCATTTGATTCAACTTCACCTACATATGAATAAAGTAGCCACTATCTTTTAAGGGAATTGGGCTTCAAACACAACTGGACAATTTTTACATATTTTAAAAGAAAAGCGTGTCTATGAAAGAAACACTTCTCTAGAATGAACATTTTTACAAATACAAAAAAAGAAGTTTCACACCCTTTCTACAAAGATGAAATAGAGAACAGAGCCTACCAGTATCAATCATACAGCCTCAGTTTTCTAAGTTAAAAGACAAGAATGTATTTATTCAAAATGCTCAATGTAGGACCAAGACAAAGAAGACATGCACACATGCACAAACACATATAACTATGTAAAATAAAATTTAAAACTGTATAATATAGACATTAAAATTAATGCTTTTATATATCTATATGTTACATAAATTGACAAATTTATGTACTTTATGTAATCAATTCAGAACATCGTCAAGATCAGATTCAGATATGTGAGATATTTAAACAGATCTGAAAAAATGTACCACCTCAAATAACATCTGTTAATAAGTTCTCCTGTGTAATAACTGCTTTCAAAGTCCTTTCTGTTGATCTCTGGGTTCATTCAAGTTTATACTATCAAGTGCCATAAAAAGAATACAAGATCAGAAAGGGTATCCATTACTCATTTGTTTATTTAGCAAACTTTTATGGAACACTTAATGCTATACTCTGTACTATGCACTGTGAATACAGACATAAATATTTAAAACCATAAGTTTAAGCATTTCAATACAGAAATAACTAAAGTTTAACTAATTCTAAGGGAAATAAGTGTTTTGGAGTGTAACAAATTCTTAATGGCTAAAAGCAATGCTTTGCAAGTCACAAAAGAAAAATTTTTACTGATAGATAAAATGGGGAGAATAGAAAACATTGTATTACCTGTTAATGTGACAGACATTGTTAAATAACAATGTGATTAAACAATTTTTTTCACACTCTCAAGAACTGTGAAGCTTCAGAAATTTTGCTGTAATCACAAGCTAAGAGTAAACTCATAAGCATTTCAAGGTTTTATGGAGATTGGCAGAAGAAAAAAGACAAGGTAAGAGAAAAAGGACCTGATTAACTCTATTACTCACGGCAGAGCAGGTAGCATGAGGTTCATAATATTGTGTTTATTCCCCTTGTCTAATTGATGGTGATACATATAAACATAGCTAAATGTTATCTTATTAATATCCTTGTTGTATTGAAATATAGTGCCCAAATAATTATCTGCAATGCTAATTTTTTATGTATGTATACTGGAGGTTTCTTAAATATATACATACACATACAAACACACACACAGACACACACACACACACACACACACACACATATATATATATATATATATTTTTTTTTTTTTTTTTTGAGATGGAGCCTTGCTCTGTCACCCAGGCTGGAGTAGTGCAGTGGCGCGATCTCAGCTCACTGAAATCTCCACCTCCCGGGTTCAAGTGATTCTTCTGCCTCAGCCTCCCGATTAGCTGGGACTACAGGTGTGCACCACCATGCCAGGCTAATTTCCCAGGACAATGTGGAGTAATCCAAGTGGATGACTCTTTGGTTCATTACAACATTCATGAAGAGGGAATTTTCAGTGTCAAAGTTCATTGAACATTGATGCATTTAAATATATAATCTCACCACGCAAACTGTGGTAATTGTTATTACAAGAACAAAAATGACAAATTGTGAAACAAAAGCAACAATCAAAATAGTAACATATTTTAAGTATGTATATGTGGATAACTATTCTACCAAAATTCAAAACAAAATCAATTAGTTGGCAGTTAGAAGGGAGAGGTGAAAATAACGAGGGCATTATTATTTTATCTTTCTCAGAGCTGAATACAAAATATGCACATTGGTGCATATTTATTTGAAGACCAATTTTTCAATGTGGTTCCATATGTCTCACAATGTATTTAATTGACTAAACAGTTCTACATCTAATAATAAATCCTACAGAAATAATTGCATACCCTTATATGAAAGAGATTTAAAAAAAACTTCAGTGAAAAATATTTCGCAATAACAAAATTCTGGACTCGCATGAAATTCTAAACAAGAATTTGGACAATTGAGTTAAATGTGTTTGCACTAATGGAACATGTAAAAAATATATCAGGAAAAATTTTAGATGTATTCATATTATAATTCCACTTATATCTGTACTTTGTTTAATTTTAATGAGTATTCTAATATAAATGTAATACTATATATTTATATGTATGTACTATATATAAATATATATACATATATAAAATAATTGCTACATTTATCTTTCTTATACAGCAATAAAATTGTATCTAGTTGCAGGGTTCATGAGTGGCAATCTAAATTATATTTCTATAATATAATCTATATTATAATATAATTATAATATAATACTTATAATTATATTATAATTATAATATAATACTTATAATAATATTATAATTATAATACTTATAATAATATTATAATTATAATACTTATAATACTCTCATTGAAAGTAGATTTGGGAAGGTGATGACATTGTCCCATGGAATATGACTTCACATCTGAGGCTAGCAAGTGAAATATCGGTTATGACTCACCTGCAATTTCCTCCTCCTGGATTTTGGAGCTATGTTTCATGAAAATAAAGCAAAGCTTGGAGGGAAGGGAAGAACAATGATTGAATGACTTCACGAGTTACAGCTGTTCCACAAACCTGGGCAGGTCTTACGACCATCAAATATTGAAAAGACAGAAAAACATCTAACTGTAATGCCATAAAACCATCTATCACAAATCCACAGCCAAAATAGTACTGAACGGGGAAAAGTTAATAGCATTCCCGTTGAAAACTGGAACAAGACAAGGATGCCCACTCTCACCACTTCTATTCAACATAGTACTGGAAGTCCTAGCCAGAGCAATCAGAAAAGATAAAAAAAAATAATAAAGGGTGGTAAAGAGGAAGTCAAACTGTTGCTGTTTGCTGATGATATGATCAAACGTTTACCTAGAATACCGTAAGGATGCCTCCAAATAGCTCCTAAAACTGATAAATAAATTCAACAAAGTTTCAGGATAAAAGATTAATGTACACAAATCTGCAGCTCTGCTATACACCAACAGCGACCAAGCTGAGAATCAAATTAAGAACTCAACCCCTTTTACAATAGCTGCCAAAAAATATAATAAAATGCTTAGGAATTTACCTAACCAATGAAGTGAAAAATGTCTGCAAGGGAAACTACAAAATACTGCTGAAGGAAATCATAGATAAACAAACAGAGACACATCCCATTCTCATGGATGGGCAGAATCAATATTGTGAAAATGACCATACTGCCAAAAGCAATCTACAAAATCAATGCAATGCCCATCAAAATACCACCATCATTCTTTACAGAACTAGGAAAAAAATCCTAAAATTCATATGGAACCAAAAAAAAGCATGCATAGCCAAAGCAAGACTAAGCAAAAAGCACAAATCTGTAACCAATAGCAAAGACTTGGAACCAACCCAAATGTCCAACAATGATAGACTGGGTTAAGAAAATGTGGCACATATACACCATGGAATACTATGCAGCCATAAAAAATGATGAGTTCATGTCCTTTGTAGGGACATGGATGAAATTGGAAATCGTCATTCTCAGTAAACTATCGCAAGAACAAAAAACCAAACACCGCATATTCTCACTCATAGGTGGGAATTGAACAATGAGATCACATGGACGCAGGAAGGGGAACATCACACTCTGGGGACTGTTGTGGGGTGGGAGGGAGGGGGGAGGGGGGAGGGATAGCATTGGGAGATATACCTAATGCTAGATGACGAGTTAGAGGGTGCAGCGCACCAGCATGGCACATGTATACATATGTAAGTAACCTGCACAATGTGCACATGTACCCTAAAACTTTAAGTATAATAATTAAAAATAACTAACTAAATAAAAATTATTCAAAAAAAAAAAAGCACAAATCTGGAGGCATCACATTACCTTACCTCAAACTATACTAAAAGGCCATAGTCACCAAAACGGCATGATACTGGCACAAAAATAAGCACATAGATCAATGGAACAGAATAGAGAACCCAGAAATAAAGCCAAATACTTACAGCCAACTAATCTTCAACAAAGCAAACAAAAACATTAAGTGGGGAAAGGGCACACTATTCAACGAATGGTGATGGGATAATTGGCAAGCCACACGTAGATGCGTGAAACTGGATCCTCATCTCTCACCTTATACAAAAATAAACTCAAGATAAAGGACTTTAAGATCTAACATTATAAAAATTCTAGAAGATGACATCAGAAAAACCTTTCTAGACATTGGCTTAGTCAAAGACTTCATGACCAAGTACCCAAAAGCAAATGCAACTAAAACAAAGATAAATATATGGGACTTAATTAAACTAAAAAACTCTGCACTGCAAAAGAAATAATCAGTAGACTAAATAGACAACTCACAGAATGGGAGAAAATCTTCACAATCTATACATCTGACAAAGGACTAATATTCAGACTCTACAAGCAACTCAAACAAATCAGCAAGAAAAAAAACAAACAATTCCATCAAACAGTGGGCTAAGGACACGAATAGACAATTCTCTAAAGAAGATATACAAATGGCCAACAAACATATAAAATAACATTCATTATCACTAATGATCAGGAAAATGCAAATCAAAACCACAATACAATACCATCTTACTCCTGCAAGAATGGCCAAAATAAAAAAAATCAAAAAATAATACATCTTGGTGGGGATGTGGTAAAAAGGCAACACTTTTACACCACTGGTGGGAATGTAGACTAGTAAAACCACTGTGGAAAACAATGTGGAAATTCCTTAAAGAACTAAAAGTAGAACTACCATTTGATTCAGCAACCCCACTGCTGGGTATTTATCTGGAGGAAAAGATACAAAAAAGATACTTGCACACACGTTTATAGTAGCAAAATTCGCAATTGGAAAAATATGGAATCAGACCAAATGCCCATTAATCAATCAGTGGACAAAGAAATTGTGAGATATATATGCATACACACACACACACACACACACACATATATATATGTGTCATGGAATACAACTCAGCCATGAAAAGGGAGGAAATAATGGCATTTTCAGCAATCTGAATAGAATTGAAGACCATTATTTTAAGTGAAGTAACTCAGGAATGGAAAACCAAACATTGTATCTTTTCACTCATAAGTGGGAGCTAAGCTCTGAGGATGCAAAGGTATAAGAATAATACAATGGACTTTGGGAACTTGGGGGAAAGGGAGGCAATAGGGTGAGGGATAAAAGACTACATATTGGGGGCCAGGCATGGTGGCTCACGCCTGTAATCCCAGCACTTTGGGAGACCGAGGTGGGCGGGTCACGAGGTCAGGAGATCAAGACCATCCTGGCTAACACAGTGAAACCCTGTCTCTACTAAGAATACAAAAAATTAGCCGGGCGTGGTGGCGGGCGCCTGTAGTCCCAGCTACTCCGGAGGCTGAGGCAGGAGAATGGCGTGAACCCGGGAGGCCTTGCAGTGAGTGGAGATCACGCCACTGCACTCCAGCCGGGGCGACAGAGTGAGACTCGTATCAAAAAAAAAAAAAAAAAAAAGACTACACATTGGGTACAGTGTACACTGCTTGGGTGATGGATGCAGAAGAATCTCAGAAATCACCACTTATTTATGTAACCAAATCCCACTGGTTACACAAAACCTATTGAAATCAAAAAAGAAAACTAACTCTACATTATGTAGGTCAAATAATTATGAGGTCTTGTTAAAGCAGCTTAGCTTTCCTTAAAAAGAAAAAAAACATGAAGTTGAATCACCTATTTTTAAAAAAGTATGAAAGGGACTATGAAGTGATACAGAATATAAATCACAGTGAGGATTTGCATGGGTTTTAATGCATAAAATTATATAAAATAGAAATATACAGCACAAAAAAAAACCCGGATAAACATGGGGGAGCCCACACAAACACAAATGAAGACATACCCTTTAATAAACTATTTAGTCTTCAGCAGATTAAGTAAACAAGTGTAAGTATAAGATGTGAGTAACACGTATGCAGGCCTGAAAAAATGAGTACTGTCATAACTTGTTGACCCAACAATTCTTCTAGCTTAAATAATTGGTTGGTTTAAAAAATTAATCAGGCATGTGTGCAAAAATGTACCTGCATTTAGCAGTACTGCGTATGACAGGGAAACCCTTAAGACACTTTATATCCAAAGCAACCTATTCTGATATTCAGCTTATTTTAATAAAGCAAAATGCTTGTTTACCTCTCTTATTAAATAATTCAGACCCAAATCTTTTTGCTTTCAGTTCCAAATTTAATCCTTTTACTCCCAATTCCAAATTCCTGGGGAAGGAAGTCTGATCTACCCAGGTTTGATAAAACTACCTCATTTTGTTGGGATACAATTGTCCATGGGTCTCTCATGTTTCTGCATGTCATGTGCCCAGAGTCAATATTCTGGACAATCTTCACAAGGATGTTTGTCTTCCTTCAGCGTAAATGACAGATTTGTTAGCTATTTGGGAAAAAAAAAGTCTCCCTCAAGGGCAAAGGCTGGGCAAGTTTGCTAGTATATCTCCTATAAAAGATTAGGATTACCTAAACTTGGATTTTCCAGCTGTGATGCAAACTCACTACATGTATAGCATCTACAAGGACTGTCTGCATTGTCCTGGAAACAAGGAGAACTAAAACAAATGTGAAGTTGTGATGCCTGCTGTGCCATGAAAAATCAAGTCCATTGTTTCTGACTCAAGTATCCCTTAGATCCTACCAGAATTTATGAAACTTTAGCAATCTAACATGCAAGTTTACAAAAAGCAGAAAATAGCAGACCATTCCCAGTTTTTGACATCGTGTTTAATTTGAATATTGTATTAATGCATAGGGCAAAGATGATTGCCTGGCATACATGCACACATACACACACACACACACACAGCAGTAAGTAATGTACTAAATTATCTATGTGCAATGGAAAATACAGATGAAAATATAATATGTTTTTAAAAAGTCTGGAAAAATGATGACCAAATGGGTACAGTAATTATCTTTGAGTGTTAGAATTTTCTTTGTTTCCTATTTTGTCTTTTCAAATAAGCATGTATATTTTTATAACTTATACCATCTCATTTGAAAATGTGAAATCCTTACAATTGTGATACATCATTAAAGTGATATTAGTCATCACAATGTTGTCAGTAATCAAACACTGCATAGGGCATTTCTTCCAAATCACTATCCTAAGCTTAAAAATAACATTTGATGGAGTTCATTTCTTCAGCATTTTTCTATATCCAGTTAGATGACATTACACCTTCTTTATATAAATATTTTTTCTCTCTTTATATTCTTTTGTACATCTATACATTTGCTCATATTTTAAATATTTTAATTATTTATATTCAATAGGCTACCAAATTGTTTTAAATAATAACTTTGCTGCTAAGTATACCCCTGTTAGGAAAGTCAGAATATTATTTACCATAATCACTTCTAGGTGTTCTTGAAGCAATGAAGGCAATAACAAAAATATTGGCTGTAAATTGTATAGTCCATTAAAATTCAAGATAAGAAGTCAGATTGTATGAAGGAGCTAGATGCCACATATGAAAATTCGTCCTAGAGGAGTAGTATGTGGTAACACATTGTTCTCATTACAATGTAAGCTATGCATTAATATGATGGACCATTTATTTTAACTTTGTGGCATGAAAATTAATAAATCATGAGCAACTGCAAACTGGTGATTTTTTCTTTAGGCATATTTTCAAAATATTTTTAACCTGGTTTTTTTCTGGTGCTCTTCAGCTAAGTCTTGGAATCTACTGTGTGACTTATGATCAAATTGTGTTTTTTACTTGATATATACAGAAATTGTCCCTCAAATTAATTTTCCAAAATATGAAGAATATGAAAACTTTACTTTGCAGGAAATATACTTCTAAAAATAAGTATTTCCTTTTAGAAAAGAGGGGGAAACCAAGAAAATATTTTAATAAACACGTCTTATAAATAGGGACATGATTATTAATGATTAAATTCTCATTGTATAAATGACAATTTGTAGATACAGAATTAAGTAATTTGTCTAAGGTTAGACAGGTAAGAATTAATAGGGTCACAATAAAATCCATGTCTTCTCATTATGTAGATGGTTTTCCACATGGCATTTCATAGCTGGTATTGTCATGTTCATAGTAACCCTGTATCCACTCTTAAAATGTTACAACCCTTCCTCTTCTACCACATCTCAGGTGGAAAAGGAGAGTGCCAAGCATGGGCCATCCCTTCACCTGCATAGGGCACCAATTCACCTCAGCCTTTCATTAGCCACGGACCAAATCCTTCATCCAGTTAAAGGGTAGCCAATAGGGACCTCACAAGGAGTACAGAAAACCAAGAAACCTGGAATTGGGCCCTTGAGCCGCTTGCTCTGGCCCACTCCCACCCTGTGGAGTGCTTTCTCACTTTAATAAATTTCTGGTTTAGCTGCTTCCTTCCTGTGTTTCCTTCCTTTGTTACTTTGTGCAGTTTTGTTCAATTCTTTGTCCACAACATCAAGGACCTGGACAACTCATAGTCACCACCTTGCTTCCTGTAACAAAAAGACACTGCGTAACCTTAAATAGAAGCTCACTTGCTCAAAGAGTGCTCTCCAGAATATGATTGGGGCAGATTGCCATTTACTTCATGTTGCCATGTTTTCTTGTGGAACATTTATGCAAATGCTCACAGGAGGTTGGAGATAGTTTGAATTATGGTCAGGACAACTTATTTTATAGTTCAAAAGCAGCAGCCTGGTCTTCACTTTATGAAATGATATATGATATAGGTGCTGCCACCTCGAATAAACCTGAAAGTTACACAGGGATTCTGTGGACAGAAAAAGAGTATTGCCTTGAAAGAAAAATGCCGTACCGTAAGACAGAGCTACGGAGATTTTTGCAGAAAATACAATTTTCTGACAAGGTTGTCTCATCTTGACAAGACATGAATTAGGTGTTAATACTGTAATTAGGCGTCTCATTACTAATAATTAAAAAGACATTGTTTACCTCAAAAATTGATTGCACCAATATTTGATTTACAAGAAAATAAAGGCTTTAAGACAACTGCTTCAAGCAGAAAGCAACATTGTATTTTAAAAGTTAAACCTAGAAATGCTTGTTTTTAGAAAATAGAAAATATATCTTTGTATTAAGACAGTTGACACTTTCATTGTGTTTTAAACTCCCTGTTTTATACATGTGGCTTATATATGTGTGCCCACAATAGTGTGTACAGGGTTGAATTTTGTTACTAACTTTCTTTAATAAGAGGAAAAAAACACTAAGAATTGCAATTCAATAGTTTATGTATTACATGCATATCAAGATGAAAATCTATTAAAATTGGTCAAATTACTCTGCTATGACCATGACCATTAACCAAGAAACACTGGGTTTGGCCTAGTCTTAGGCATCACCGGAAAATGTAAAGAATATAATGAATCGGCTCATTCTTACTCTGTCCAGTTTAATTCTACAGAAACAAGGTAATACAAAATATTCATCCAAGAGTATAAAATTTAATGAGAAAGATTTTCAGATACACAGATATGATGCAATATAAATATTCTAAGTATGCTATTCTAAATACGCTATGCTATTCCTCAGAACCTTTTCAGACTTGCGCCCCTCCGAAGTCAGGTTGTCTCTTCCCCGAAGTCAGGCCATCTCCTCCTCTACCAAATGAGACTCCGGTCTTTATAGGCACAGGATGGGGAGTGCATTCTGACTGGTTTGTGAATATGCAAAAATGGTTAAAGCAAAGACACCACTCAAAGTTGGGCACAACAGTGTGGAGAAACAATTAGGAAAGGGTAGGTATATGTAAAATAGGTGAAGGGTGGGGATTGATAAGAGGAAAGTGCACCGAACCCAGAGGACAAGTTCTCAATCTGGTCCAAGGATTTAACTCGTAACTTGGCTTTCAGGCTTTAAGGTGCCTTCAGCTTGGAGATGGGGTTTCACTAGGTACCTGTCCCTATCTGCCTAGGCATTTGGCTGCCTCCTGCTACTATCAATTCCATAACAGAAAAAGACATGTAGCAATGTGTGTGTGAAATAAAATAGTGTGTGAATGTGAGTCTAAGAAATATCCTTAACATTCTCAGCTATAGAATATATACGAGCTGTAGCATATGAGGCACAAAAGGTAGGTGGAGTATACTTCATAAAGTGTCTTAGTTAAAGAGATAAGAGTGTTTGTGGAAGCATGATTAATCTACTTCAGAAAGATAGCTTTAGCACCAGTGTGAAAATGATTTGATTGTGAGGATCCTGGTGATGTTAAAGGACGAGGAAGCTGGAGGAAGGAAGTTGGGGGATTATGGAAACTTTATGTTCAGCAACGAATTAGGATCCTGCACAAGCAAGGAATGTTAAAGGCCAGAATTAAGACAATAGTGAAACAACAACAGAGGAATTAATGTTCTGGAAGCAGTGAATGATCCCAGTGGAATTTCTGAATATTGTGTATATTTGTCAGAATGTAGCACCAACTATGCAAATGTTCTTGCACCAAAAACTTGCAAACCACAAAGGCAACCCCTTAATTACTAATGCCAGTTAGTGCCACTGCAGTAATTTCCTGAGTAAGCAATGAGTTCATTTCTCTGGCAAGTTATCTCAAAGCATGGAAAGGCTGAGGCATTTCAGGACCCACGCCCTGCAAAAGAAACTGAAATGCTCTAAGGTAAAACAGAAGACAACTATGCAACAAGAGAGCCAAATTCTCAAAGGCAATGGAGTGTAGCACAGTTTGCATCCAAAGATCAAATTCATAAAGCCACACATCAAAACAACTATTAGAAGAATGCATTCTAAAATCATCCGCAACACCACTGACACAGTCAAAATATTCATAAACCAAACAAAACAATGTTCAAGCACCCACAGGTCCCTATCAATCTTTTGAAGTGCAAAACAGCCAAGGAAAATGCATTTTTAAGATAAGTGCACCTAATATGACTTTGTAAAGTAACTTTATGTCCTAAAATGCCAGTGTTATAGGTAATAAATATAAAATCAAGGCAATAAATATTCCTTCAAACATGCAGCAGCATTGAGCAGCATTCCCTTTTGGTTTCCAGAATATGATTTCCAAAACTGCAGCAGGGAAAATACTTACTTTGAACCTCCTGCCTCTCCAAATCCAACATAAGCTGGTCTGGATTGGAACAATTGTCACCTATAGTCTCAGCATGGAATGTGACTGTTTTCAAGATTCCTTTCATGATGCTGTCAGCGTGAAAACACTCAATTGTGTCCTCAGCTTGATCTTTAAATGTCATTTTTAAAACAGATTTGAAGTAAAAGAATACCATTCTCTCCATTTGTTCAAAAGGAGATATTTCCTTCATAAGTTTATAAAAGTCTAGGTGTTAATGAATTACTCACCTAATATAGACTCCTTAAGGCATCAGCAGCAGCTTGCATCAGGCGCCCTAGGGAGTATAGGGGACTTAGAAATAAAGAACTATTTACCTATAAATCTTGTGCACATGTTTTCAGAAGGGCAAGACTTGTTCTTGGTTTCAGGTAAGGTCAACAAGCTTAAAAAATGACAATTCTTGGAATTTCTCAGTGACTCTATGAGACCTATGTAACAGCCACTTAATATATATGTTAAATAATGTTTTCTGTGAAATTTCTTTATATATTAAGAAGGGCTTTCCTGTATTTCTTATTCCACTGGATTCCTGGAAGGGGACTATCCCACTTTGGCAAAGCTCCATGAAACGAATAACCTTGGGAAAATGTGCATAAAAATGTATTACTGAAGGCATTATGTTCCAATATATGAGCCTTTAGTTTCTTTGCTTTTCAGGGGCTCACAAAGCTATATATTTTCAGAGAACTAATTGTGTTCATTTATTGCAAATTTTATAATAGCAAGCTAAATATGTTGGTATTTTAGAAGATGAATTTGAAGAAGTAAATTGTAGAGATCTTTGAGAGGCAATGTGGTCTGCATTACAATGATGGTGGTAAAATAAATGGAAAGACTTGGAAAGATTCAAGAAATGTTTGATAGACAATGACAAGTAAATTATTGCATGTAGTGGATGAGGGAGTACACAAAGAAAACCTCATTGTTTTGGGCTTGAGTAACTGGGTGATTATATTAATAACCATGAGAAAAAAAGATAAAATCTAGTACGGGAAGTATTCTAATAAGTGTCTTTTCCCAGATAAGGAATAATTGAGAGGAAAACTTTCCTTTTTGACTCAGTCATGGCTTTAGCAGAAGGCAATATGACATAATAGATTTCACTGTCAACAGACAAGTTTTTAAAATTTTCATCTAGCAGTTGACTCGTGTGTAATATTAGTAAAGCCATTTGACTTATTTGAAACACATTTTCTTTCTTTCTTTTTTTTTTTTTTTTTTTTTTTTTTTGAGACGGAGTCTGGCTCTGTCGCCCAGGCTGGAGTGCAGTGGCGCAATCTCGGCTCACTGCAAGCTCCGCCTCCCGGGTTCACACCACTCTCCTGCCTCAGCCTCTGGAGTAGCTGGGACTATAGGAGCCTGCCACCACGCCCAGCTAATTTTTTGTATTTTTTAGTAGAGACGGGGTTTCACCTTGTTAGCCAGGATGGTCTCAATCTCCTGACCTCGTGATCCGCCTGCCTCGGCCTCCCAAAGTGCTGGGATTACAGGCGTGAGCCACCATGCCCGGCCTAAAACACATTTTCATGATCTCTAAAATAAATAGGCTGATGAGACCACCCCCTCTACCAGTTGCTAGGAGAACAAAATTAGATCGTGTATAAAGTGCCGCTTGAAAATGTCTATCTAGTCTCAAACTCTCCTGCCTTTTTCTAGATGTGTTAATATGTAGGTGACCAAAGCAAATTGTATTAATAGTTTAAAGCAGCAGTCCCCAGTTTTTTTTTTTTGGCACCAGGGACCAGATCTGTGGAAGATTATTTATCCATGGACTGGGGGTGAGATATGGTTTTTGGGATGATTCAAGTGCATTATATTTATCATGTACTTTATTTCTATTACAATTACATTGTAATATTTAATGAAATAATTATAGAACTCACTATAATGTAGAATCAGTGGGAGCCTTGAGTTTGTTTTCCTGCAACTAAATGGTTCCTTCTGGGGGTGATGGGAGACAGTGGTACCTGAAGTGTGTTGCTTACGTCCAGTCTACTCCAAAATTGCTTTTCAGTTGTTGTCACTGCAGAAAACCGTGCTTCACAAAGATAGCATGATGGAAATGGAAGCAGGCTTCTCAGTGCTTTTGTGGCAATCTCAGGATATTCTGCCTTGACTTTAATCTGAAATGTATGGAGATTTGAAGTTGTCTCAAACATACTTTTAAGGCCACCATCATTTGTGATCTCAAGAGGGTGATCCTCTTCTAGCACAGACAAAGTTGATTAACCTGGCTTATTCACAAATGGGCTGCAGATCCATTCCTTCCAAGTTTGGGGGTTTTCTGTGGCTGGGAAGTAATGCTCAGATGCTTGAAAGCTGAGATAGGTGATGATGTACCAACTGGGAGAAAGAAGACCCTGGCTCAGTCTCTTTCAAAATCTCTGCTAATGTTTGAAACATGTCAAAAATCCCAATGCTCACTCATTGCCCTCATAATTCCCATTTGGCTTTGAATGCCTCCACTTTATCTGCTGACTGGAACAGTTATCATTTGCCCCTGACGTCACAGCTTGAATTCGTTGAGCAGGTTGAATACGTCACACAAGTAAGCAAGTTTTGTCACCCATTCTGTGCCACTGAGTTGTGCTTCCAGTGGTGACTGTTTTTCTAAAAGAAATCTCTGGAGTGGCTCTTATAACTCCAAACCTCTGGCCAGTGATCTACCTTTAGAAAGTCACCTAACTTCTGCAGATAAAAGAAGAAACAAGTGCTCTGCCTCCATCTCCTCACAGAGCTGCATGAAGAGACGTGTGAGTTAAGGGTGTATAGTTTAGTGTGGTTGATAATTTTAATCACACCCTGCAAAAGGTTAAGTTCAGGTGACATTTTTGAGTTAGCCAGCATTTCTCTATGGATGACACAGTGTGTAAACTCACATTCAGAAGCAATCTCTTTGATCCAAATAGTGAAACCAGAAAGCAGTCAAGTCATGGTAGCCGCTCCATCCATCCATATATTCAGCACAAAAACCAATTCAGTTTTCCTGGCACGTAATCATTCAAAGACTTGGATAGTTTTGCAATTGCGATATTGGTTGGCAACAAAAGCACACATAACATGTGTTCATGCACCTCCTGAAAAATATGTTGCATAAAAACAAGCATTGTTGCCTTGTTATCAACATTGGTACACTCCTCAACCTGGATTGCATACCATGGTGATTCATTAATCCTCTCTAACAATTGTGCCTTAATATCCTCTGCCATTTCACCAATTTGTCTACTTATGGTTCTAGCTGAAAGAGGAAGACGTTGCCACCTTTTGAACTGCAGCCTCTCTGAGAAGTTCATGACAAATGTCCTTAGCAACAGGCAGGATCAACTCTTCACCAATAGTGAAGAGCTTCTTGGCTTTAGCAATGCAGTTAGCAACTAAGAATGATGCGCTCAGTGCAGACACATTTGATGAAGTGGTAGTCTTCAGTAATTGCTTCTGTTCTTTACGTTGATATTTTTTTTTCTTTTGAAAAACTCCAAAGGCTTGTATTTTAATGCAGGTTGCTTGGTCTCCAACTGGGGAAGCAGTTTTGAAGGTTTCATGCCTTTGTTGGATAGCTGGTTGCCACATATTATACAAAGTGGGCTTGGAGAAAGTGAATCGCCTGTAGCAATGAACTCATGATTTAAGTAGGACTCTTGGTATTTTATTTTAAATGCAGATTTTTGTTGGCAGTCTTAGAGTCTTCTGCTGTCTCATCATTGGCTCTTCCCCCTTTTCAAAGTTTTCCAGTAATGTTTGATTTTAACTCATTTTGGCTAGGGTTAGCTTGTGGGTTTACCAAAACCGTGACTGAGACAAGTGCATAGTGTGAGAAAAAGGTATAGATGGAAGTGGTAAATAAAATAATGAGTGGACCACATGTGGACTAAAATAAGTGTCAGATTCTGACTTAAATCCTGCCACCAGATGTAGCTTGTCGCTTGCCAGTCACTAATAGGGATTTGATATGAGTCTGCAAGCAATTGACGTATTATGGTCTCTGTTCAGTGAAACCTGTCTGCTAATGTTAATCTTTATTTGCAGCTGCTCCCCATTGCTCATATCACCACCTCAGCTCCACCTTAGATCATCAGGCATTAGGTTATCATAAGGAGCTTGCAGCTTAGGTCCCTCACACACACAGTTCACAATAGAGTTTGGGCTCCTATCAGAATTTAATCCTGCTACTGATCTGACAGAAGGCAAAGCTCAGGGCGGTAATGTGAGTGATAGGGAGTAGCTGTACATACAGATGAAGCTTTGCTTGCTCACTGATCACCTCCTGCTGTGCAGCCTAGTTCCTAACAGGCCACGAACTGGTACCTAAGAGGCCATGAACTGGCACCCCTAGTTTAAGGAATATAGAGTTTTTCCTGCTTACTTCAAAAAGAGTGTATCAAACCAAAGTCCATACCCTTTGAAACTATGCTATGAGGCTTTTCTCAAAATTCCATCATGTAATGTAGAGGTATATGGGTCTTTACACTTAGGTTCAAAGTTGATGGAGGCCAGAAATTGTGGTAGAATGCTTATTTATTGGGCCACACTATGAGAGTCACTACCTCAAAAGCCTTTAGAAAGATTATGATACATATTAAAATTTCTCAGTATAGAAATTCCTCAAAATTCTCTTTTTCACATTTTCTTTGATGAATGCAGAGAGGAAAGAGAGACAGAGTGTATGTTTGTGTGTGTAAAATAAGCTCAGACATTATGAAATGACCCTGCTCTGAGCTGTTCTGCCTCTTACTACAGTTAGTTCTGCTATAACAATTGTTTTGAAAACACAAATTTATTCTAGTGTAATGGATATATTAGGGTACAATTTAAGCATGGTGTGAATTTCCTGTTTACTTATGCATGAATTCATCCCCGAGGAACACTAGGTGAATGCATAAAACCACTTAGCTGAACTGAGCTAGGTAGGAATCCACAACAGTGCAAGCACAAACACCCCTCAAGTATCTACCAGCCGCCTTAGCTGATGACATGGGTTATGAGCCACTCCCATCCACCCCTGTAGTTACAGCTTTCCACCTGATTTCAAATAACCCTCCTTTCACCACTTCACAATTACTTGCAGGCTGAAACCTTCCAATAACCTCTCCCTAAAGCAAACTTCACATCTTTCTCAAGGTAAAATACATATTTCATGTATTTTTTTACATATTTATCAATTCCTTAATGTATATGCAATGCACTTTTGACCTTATCAGTTTATCATTTTTTCAAATGTGTCCCTTATGAAGTTGTTGAATGTTATACACTTCACCTCATCTCCACCTTAACATTCACGCTTTTCATTGTGTGATTTTGCATAGCACAGTACATTTTAGGAATACATATGCCTCACAGCATAATTGACTGTATCTAACAACTTGTTCAGGTAACATGATCCTCTTCAGTACTCCCTGTAAAAGGTTAAAAATAGTAGAATCAATCTCAGAGCTGTTGACAAAATTAAAATACGTGTGGCGCATTTAGTATATGCCATGCAATATCATAGTACTTAATACATGTTAGATATTGTGATAAGCAGTATGATAGCTCCCTGAAGGTATCCACACACTAATCTCTGGAACTTGTGAATATTTTGTGTTACACGGAAAAGTGGACTTTGCCAATGTAATTAAGACTTTGGATATTCAAATAAAGAGTATCCTGGATGACCCAGGTAGGCCCAGTCTAAATACGTGAACCCTTAAAGGCAGACGATTTTCTTAGGATGAAGTCAGAAAGATGCAGCAGAGGAAAATTCAGTGAGATTTGAAATTCTTGACAAGCCATTGCTGATTTGAAGATGAAGGCGGGCAAGTGATGTGGGAATGTAGGAGTCTTTACGGACAGGCTCCAGGATAACAGTCAGCAAGGAAAAGGAAATTAGATTTTTCCCTTAACCTCAATGAGGTTAGAACCAGATTCTTCCTAGCTAGCTGACACCTTGATTTGGGCCTTTCCCAACCTGAAATGGAGAAGCAAAACAAGTCCATCCATACTTCTGACCTACGGAGTTCTGGGATATGTTTTAAACTGTGAACTTTTGGGTAATTTATTATGGGAACAATAGAAAATGTAAGTTTTATTGCTATTAAATATTTCTATTTTTATTAAGGGAAGAGTACATTGCTATTGGGAAAAATATCATTTTAAACTAAAAATGTTATATTTTAAGTTTTTAAGTTAACAAGTCAGTCATCAGTTACTACCTTAAGAGCAGCATGAAAGGAACAAAAGAAAAATTCCTGAGAGAGAAACCTTGGCAAGAAGGAGAGATGTTGCAGGCAAACTCCATTTGCCTCACAAATGTGTTTTGGGCCAGTCTTTCTTTATATGTCGCTAAACTTTGTTAAATATTTGTATATACTTCGGGAGGCTGAGGCAGGTGAATCACTGGAAGTCAGGAGTTCTCCACCAGCCTGGCCAACGTGGGAAAACCCCGTCTCTACTAAAAATACAAAAATTAGCCAGGCATGGTGCGCATGCCTATAGTCCCAGAACGGGAGGCTGAGGCAAGAGAATTTCTTGAACCTGGGAGGTGGAGGCTGCAGTGAGCCGAGATTGCACCACAGCACTCCAACCTGGGTGACAGAGTGAGACTCCATCTCGAAAATAAATAAATAGTATGTCAACTCCAAGTCTTGCCGTTAGAAAGACCATAAAAGGTTTAAACCTATATGTTAGTGTCCTATTACTGCTGTAACAAATTACTAAAACACTAGTGTCTTGAAACAATACAAATGTATTGTCTCCCAGTTCTGGAGGTCTGAAGTTGAAAATGGGTCTCACTGGTATAAAGTCAATGTATCAGAGGGCATAGGGCTACTACTGGAGGCACTAAGATAGAATCTACTTCCTCACCTTTTCCAGCTTCTACAGGCTGCCAGCAGCTGTTAGCTTATAGCTCCTTCCTCCCTCTTCAAAGCCAGCAGTGCAGCATCTTCACATCCTTCTCTAACCTCTGCTTCCTTCATCACATCTCCTTCTCTCACCTTTTCCTTCCTGCATCCTTCTTATGAGGGTCCTTATGATTACATCAGTTCTACCCAGATTATCCAGGACAATCTCCCCATCTCAATATCCTTAACTTAATCCTTAAGTAAATTTCCCTGTGCCCTGTAAAGTAGAATATTCACAGGTTCTTGGTATTAGGATTTAGACATTTTGGGAGGGCCATCATTCTGCTTCCCACAGCCAGAAACAAATATATTTCTAATGGAACACATGATTTCTTAAATAATTATAACAGTTCCATTCCAGCTATTTCTCTTAAATCATATATTCTTGCAGTTTTCCATCCCCTAGAGTCTCTTTTTGCTTCAGGACATGAGTAGATAGAACCTCATTAATGAGACAATAGGCTGGAAGAAAGGTTCCAGGTGAAGACTATACTAGTGAGGGGGAAAAAACAAAAATACTGTGTTTTTGGACTCCTCCAATATTATTCCAGTTGTTCTACAAACAACACACACACATACCAGTCTATCTTTCTCTTTATCAATCTATCCATCCATATAACTACCTATCTATTTAGACATTTATTTTTCAAAATGATTTATGGTGCCTCTTTTGGTGTTTAATTTTCTAAATGTGCAAACATCTGCATTTTTTTATGAAAGCCTAAAATATGCATCATAAGCATGCCATATTATTAAGCATGTTTTGAGATCTAAAACCAGTTAGTGCTCTGTAAACTGAAAATAAGTAATAAGGTGTTTTTATATTCTCTAAGCCAAATATTCCAACTTACACTTTTATTCTACAACTAATTATCAAGTGTCTACAAAGTGCCAGGCTCTATTCTGGGCCTGGGGATTTAGTAGGACCAGAAACAAGAACAACAGGAACAACAAAGGCTAACACAAATATCTGTCTTTATGGAGCTCACAATTCAATAAGATAGCTGAGCAGTAAGTAAATAAATAATAAAACAAGGACAGTATAATATGTCACTTAATGATAGTGCTACAGGAGAGTGAAAAAAGGCAGGAAAGTGGGGCTAGGGGCAGGAAGGTTCCAAAGGAAACTGCAATTTTAACTATGGTGGCCAGAGTCAGATGCTTTGCTGAGAAAGTATCTGAGCAAATAAAAAGGAGGTGAGAGATAAAGACTCAAGAGTATTTCAAGAAAAGAATCTTTGGTGGAGGAAGTGGAAAATCCTAGAGCAGGAAATGAGATTTATTCTTTGAGAACATTAATTCCATCTTTTAACTAATATTTATTGATGGCCTCAAATGGGTGGGGCACTCTTACATCAGTACACAAAATAAATCCCCTTTCTTCAAAAAACTTATATTCCAAGGAATAACTTGACTTTCCTTTAATTTATTCTACTCTGTCATTTTTCTGAAAATGAGGGAAAATCAATTTTCCTGTTTATGAAACAAGAATAGCACGATAAGCCCAAAAGAGAACTTTAGAGATTATTTAGCTAAAATGTTTAAAGTACTAAGAATCATTTTTATAGAATAATGATTGGCCAGTATAATCACCACATTGAAATCTTGGTTTTAGTTTGCTTATTGTTAGTTTGAATTTTAGTTCCATCGCATCTAGGCCTTACATTTGTAGGGCTTCAGTTGGAACCAGATGATATTTGGAACAAAACTGATTTCATGAAGATGATTTCCTAGAGTCTAACACCCAGTAAATGCAGTCAGTTTATTCAAACATTACACTGTTTCCAGAGTAATGTATGTTGCACAAATAAAATAAATCATGGATTTAGAGAGAAGCTGAAGTGTTGTCAACTGGGCTGTAAATGTTTCAACATAATAAACTGTACAGTAGAATAGAAGTAGCTCAAAAGTTGAAGATTTCAGTTTGTGATGCAGGGAAAAAGGATCTGATTTAGGTAGGAAAGAAAAGAGAATTTTAATGATGGAAATGGTCTAAAAGAAATCGTATATATTACGGTTGTCAGTGTGACAGATGGTGAGACTGTATATAATAAAGTCAAAAGATATTTTGACAAGAAAGAAGATGGATCTGACAGTTCAGAAATCAGAATCCTGGGCAGTAAAAAATGAGAAAAATATAATTGAATGTGTGCTCAGCTGATACATAGTTAATTTTACACAGCCCAAGGCAACAGAGTATGGGAAATGGTCAGTAGTGTTAGCAGACTTGATAAAACGAAGAGAAGAGGAGGGATAATGTGAAAACAAAGCAAAGGAAGACAACATTCTACCACCTGTAAAATAGTATTTTCAGTAAATTATTTGAAAAAAAAAAAAACCAGAAACTAACCCATCTGAATCCATTCAAAATGGTCATTTGAACAATACAGGGCTAGATTTAAATGCTATTATACTTTACATAAATATACAACATCCCTTAAAGTAAAACTAATTTTTTTCACAGCTACAAAGGAAATACATTTCATTAACACTGTTTCTTAAAATAATCCTAGAAAACAAGGTCTCTTTTTGACACAGGTATTTGAATTTCCTTGGCCATTAACATCTTGTAACTACCATTGTTTTCAGATATAATTCTATTTAAACAAATCTAAAAAGTGATAGATTCTTTAGAACATGAATAAGTTATATAAAGGATTACCCCTTTTTCTTTCAAAAAGTGACTGTGTTATTCGCCTGATGTTATGCTAGGCTTCCGTATTGTTATCACAGGGACACTCTCAAGTATAGCTTAAAAATACACTTGTCCTTCACATTCTTAATACTTTTAGGTCAGTATATCTGTAGCAGCAACCCCTTATGTTAAAACCTGGAAAGGGTAAAACATAATGGCTTCATACTGAAGGTTTCAGAAGGGGAAAGAAAGGCCCTAAGGAAAAAAAAAAAAGAAACTGGTTTAAGAACACACAGTGAGCATGGGCAGAGTGGACACATCGAGGCAGACATTCCATCTGTGTAGTCCATGCTCTTAACAACTTTGCCATAATGACTTATGAGCCTTACCTGTGAAACATTCCTTGTCATTATCCTTGTCAGTCACATGTGCATTTACAACAGGAAAACGAGACAAATACCTAAATGCTTTCAGAAGAAACCCAACAGTAGGAAAAAATACCAGAAATGAAGAATGTCTCTATGTTGTTTTTGTAAAGGACAGAGTTCTCAGAGATATTTTATGTGTATAGATGAAACTAAAAACGGCACTGCAGGATGCTTTAATAATCTTTATTGCATCATATTTGTGAAAATTATACTACATCACTGCCATCTGTAGTGATGCATAAATCACAAGGCAATAAAGCCTCCTAATAAATCTTACGCCCACTCTCTTCACATTATTGATCCCTTTTATTTGCTGATGCAAGAACTCTTCCATATGTTGATGCAGCATCCGTGATCTATGTGTCATTATCCTTTATGTCTAATAGCATTTTCTATAAATCAATATCCTTCCTCTTTGAAGATGGTCCTGCAGAATGAATTGCTATATGCTTGTGTGAGCATCGCTGAAAGCCTGGAGGTGTGGCATGGCTTGCCATTCCCTCATTAGTCTGAGGAAATTTGTAGGTGATCGTTTGTGGATCTTCCATGGGTTTTGTCACAGCCTCACCCTGTTAACTCTATGTTCCTAGTGAGTAGCCTCAGCAGTTTTAGCCTCATCACTGCACTGTGCCTAGTGGTCAGCAGTCTTGGATCTGTGCTTATCATCAGATACAGCCCTGTTCCACTACTTGACACTCTCCTTAACCATAACCTCCTGGTGGTCCCACTTCTATCAGCCTCCATCTGCTAACACATCAATCACAGAGGATTTGTTTGAGACTCTTAATGTCTCATAATGTTATAATCATTGTTGTTTTTTTTTTTGTTGTTTTAACATTTAATACAAGGAAACTGCTATAGTGAGAACATATTTAGTGCTGATTTGATAGTAAACTTGAGGAGCTGATTTAAGCGATTGTAGGTAAAGTCGGTTATACACTAGTTCTCTAACCCATTCAGGCTGAGCCACTTACAGAAAACCCAATCTGCAGTGTTGTGTTATATTTCTTTTGCCTGCCAGCCTCTCAAAGCATGTGCAGTTTTGACAGTTTCTTTTGCCTTGCCTGCTAGCCAAGCAGGTGACAGAACATTGCTGTAAAAGAAACTGCTTTGGATAGCTTTCAACGTTAAATCACTAATGTAGATTTTTAATGTTAAGCAAAAAGTCCATGGTGCAAATGGAAGTATGTCTGCCTTCATATTTCACAGACTCTTAGCCTAATATGTGTTTGATATGCTATCACCTTAAACCACTAAAGCCATGTGCTGCTCAAACATCATAAAACATACAATCCTATTTTTCTATAAAGAATAGTTTACATCTGAAGTCAGATTTATTTTGAAATTTCACATGCTAACACAAAGCATTAATGTTGAGTGGGAAAACTATAGAATCTTTAGAAAGGTATCAGAATAACTTCAAAATGAATTCAGTATTTTTATGTATTATTATATACATCATCTGATATGCACTGAAAGGATGAAACCATTTAATAAAGGTTAAAAAATAGCATTTGTGAGTCAATAATGACTTCAAAATTAAAACAAATAGGTAACATTCTAATAATACAAGTAATATACCACTTTTAAGAAAAATAATTTGTAAAAGGTGGCTTCAAATTTTGCTATAGAAATTATGGAAAGAACAACTTAATCTCAAAATCTTTTCTAGTATACCCAAATAAGCTGACTAAGAATTTCAACTCTAGAAACTTAACAAAAATGAAAAAACAAATCAAACAAAAACTCCAAAATACACCAAAAATGTAAAAGTGTATATTTATTAGGGTTAATAAATAAAGAAGAAAGTAAAAGAAGAGATAACACAGAATGCTTCTTCCCTCTAACCACCCATTTCTGGTCACAGATGGGAAAATCTTACATTTAAGATCCTCTCTAATATAGATGTTGCTTGTAATATGTAGGATATTAATAGTTCCCTTTGGACCACGATGTTCTTGACAATAAGTCCAGTAAGTCCTACAATTCCTTATATCCAAGCAGAAAGTTATTGTAGTAGAAATGGGTAATCAAATGACATTTGATTCATTCATTCATTCCACTCATTGAGGAGAGGGTTTCATGTTTTGAGTTACTTTCCTATCGTGTTCTCCCAGCCCAACCCCTTCCCACCCATCAGAATAGGGGCTAATCCCCCAAAGTATCATATCTTATTGACTTATTTACTCAGACTCAGAGAAGCAATGATTTAAGGCATTATGAGCTCAACTGGTTTATCTTCCTAGAGAAATGAAGGACTGCTAAAATAAGAGTCAAAATATTCATATGCCCTAGCCCTATTATGAATACAATATTAAATTTAACTCATCTATTCAGGCAAATAAAAATAATCATTGTCATTTTGACTTCAAAGTGTCCTCTGACTTACTCCTCCAAGTCTTATTTCAGAACTAAACAGCATCACCATCCACCAAGACCTCCAGCACAGAGGAAGCAGGAGTCATCATTGATTCTACTTCATCCTCAACGTTCATTTTATATCCATGTCTTATTGATTTCACCTTCAGTAACTGTTTAATCAACCTCTTCTGTTTAATCAAGCTTTTTCCTTCTTCTGTTTTTACATCCTACAATTTCCTGAGAGCTCTCCTCATAAAACATAAAATTAATCATGTAGCTACATTGCTGATACATTTAGGTGGCCTTCTAATGCCTACAAATTAAACCCAAAACCTTTATCACTATGCAATGTAAACAAAAGTGTTTCAACATGTTCCATTTATAATGAACACTTAATGTTACAGGTTCAAAAATACCCCTATTCTTCCCAAGTATGTTGACTTGACAATATCCAAGACTTTTGTCTCCCTCATTCTTTTCCTTCTTTATAAGTTGTCTTTCATCTTCTTCTCTGCCAAACAAAATTCAACCAACCCTCGAGGGCCCAATTCAAATCTCACTCTTCTTTTATGAGCCTTGCTCTATACACTCTTTCCCCCACATCACCTCTTTTTCTAGAAATTCTAATTATTTGGATGTTATGATGTGTGATGAATGTCTTTTAACAATTTACATGCCTGCATGTAAATGAGATTCTGGAGGGCAAAGAATATCTAATTCATACTTGAATCTCAATATTTCACACATTGCCTAGCACTGGAGTTTATAAATATTTATTGAATCAAGTAAAATTCTCTAATCTTTTAAATATGCAAACATGATCTATGTATCTTATTTAAATAAATATGGCTCATGACTTAGTAGCTAACTATAGATAGATATTATAAAACTATATTGTTTAAAGTTCTGTCATGGTATATTTCTACCAAAATGTTCAGATAGAAAAAGAAGAGATTCAGTTGGAAATGCTCTTGTAAAGAACACTTTTATTCTATGATAAATAGAAGAATTTATCCCTGACTAATTCAACCAGAAAAGTCTTTTTGTAGAATTCAATTCTATAACCCTATTCAATGGAGTTAATGATTGTTTCACATGAGTGATAGTAATACATTAAGATTTATAGAAGGATGTGCAAGAAAACATAGCCGAAAGCAGATATAATATTTAAAATATAATTCCTGTAGAACGAAAACAAAATCTATAAGACAGGGCTCCATAGAAACATAATGTTCCATTTCAGGCTTTCAAAACAGACTTACAAATGAAACATTTCATAAACAATGAATAACATGCACTTAAGAACCTCACACAGAGAAAAATTGCAACTGAGCATGCATGTGTAATTTGCACTACAGTAATCTTACTTTTTAGCAAATGCAAGGAATCCTGTCACCGAATGGTGAGCAAAGTGATGGGTGGCATACTGATGTTACTGAAATTCTCTCCAGAGGAATATGGATACAAAAATATAAGTGTAATGTTTTGTACATATAATTTTTAATTGCCAACAAATGTAAATAAATAATTTGAAGCTTGTTTTCATCAAGCTATCGATACGCTCTTTAGAAGAAGCCACTCATAAGACTGAGGAATTAGACATATTAAATTCTTAAAGTTTTATCTTGGAGGTGGGACGATGCTCATATTTCTGCATTGCGTAATTATGCTTTTTTTCAGAGATACAATTTCCTTCAGTTTTCTCACTTGCACAAAGCATGGAATTCTGGTACTTAAAAAATTTATTAGACTTTTAGTTTGTTTTATTTCTTTGCATACATATAAACCATGGGTTACCAGCTGTTTACAAGTTTACTCATGAATCTCAACTCTCCTGCACTGACCTATCATCAAACGGTAGCCATATCACCTACCAGTTCCTCAGGGAACACATGTTATTGAAGCTACTTTTTTCTCTTTAAATGTGTTACAAGTAGTAAACTATATAATTATTTTCCGGAAAAACAATCCTTGAATTTCTTGTGAATGAAGATAAAAATATCAGTTGAATTAAATAGTGAAAAGTAAAGGTGAGTCTTGTTTTTATATTTACAAAGAAACCCTAATTAATTAATCATCTTAGCCAACAACATCTTAGCACACAATCTCATAACACAATGTTTAGACAGTGACCCAATCCTAGAACATAGTATGGACTTCATTTATGGTTACTGAACCAAAGGTGATGACATAGATTTTGTAAAATAACTCAGAGGAATAAGTTGTTTCTTTACAAAGTAGCCTAATAAGTACTTTGTCCAAAACAACCTACCTAGGTACCATGATTCCTGTCAGCTACATCATCACTTCTAATTCTATCTGAAGATACAATTGAAACCACTACTGAAGCAGGAAATTTCCCTGACCCCTTCACGGGTGGAAACTGGAATGCATGGGCACTGGAACTAGCTGGCTGCTTCTTCGGGGCGGCAGGGGTGGACTCCCCTGGCTCAGTCTCACTGCATTCCACCCCTTGAGGAGGGGAGTGCAGGTGAACAGGTGCAGGAGCCAGGGCAAGTGCTTTTGGGCATTGGCAGGAGCAAAACTTTGTGCGGACCCTGTGGCAGTGTCTAGTGAGGAGTACCCATGACCCCTGAAGCCCCAGAGGATGTGAGTTACAGTGTTTTTTTGTTTTGTTTTAAACCTGTGTAAAAAAAAAATGTAAACTAATAAATACTAATAGCTTTAAATACCTAATTCAATGTTTCTTCTCTTTTTATTTATTTTTTATTTTTTTGAGATGGAGTCTTGCTCTGTCGCCCAGGCTGGAGTGCAGTGGCACAATCTCGGCTCACTGCAAGCTCTGCCTCCCGGGTTCACCCCATTCTCCTGCCTTAGCCTCCTGAGTAGCTGGGGCTACAGGCGCCCGCCACCATGCCTGACTAATTTTTTTGTATTTTTAGTAGAGGTGGGGTTTCACCGCATTATCCAGGATGGTCTCTATCTCCTGACCTCGTGATCTGCCCACCTTGACCTCCCAGAGTGCTGAGATTATAGGTGTGAGCCACCGCGACCAGCCATGTTACAGTGTTCTTTTAGTTTTGCCATCTGTGGACAGCTTAAGTCTTAAACAGCTCAGTGGGCCCCCTGCCTTTTCACGTGTGGTGGTTGCTCTCCACCAGCAAGGGCAAAGAGTCAGTGTGACAGTCTTCACTGTCTGCACCCATGGCTCCTGAGCTCTTGTTCAGTGTCCAGGAAAAATCAGGTCTTACTAACGAATTGGAGGGTGGTGAATGTGGAGGATTTTATTGCTGATGAAAATGGCTCTCTGTGGGGAGGGGAGCTGGAAAGCAGATGGAGTGGGAGGGCAATCCTCCCCTGGAGTTCAGCAGTCCTTGGCCAGACTCCTCTCTGAAGCCACGTTGTCAAGTTGTCTCTTTGAAGTCAAGCTGCTTCTCTTGGATATCCAGTTGCTTCTCTTCTCTGCTCTCTGCTGATGGAGCCTGGGGTTTTTATGGGCACAGGATTGGGGGAAGAGTGGGCCATAGGTGGTTTTGGAAAAGGCAACATTCGAGTGGGAAAACAGGAATACATGTTCTCACATTGGGCCACGGTTCCAGGTTTGAGGGTGGGACCCTTGCCAAAGACCTGCCCTCTTCTGCCCAGAATTTCCCTGCCTCCTATCCTTATCACTACTAAGGCTGTATTGTATCAAGAAACCCAAGTGAGATAAATTATATTATTGCTTAACAAGTATTCACTTTCTATCCCCTTCTGTGAAAGGAATATATTCCCTACCCAATTGATGTTGAACGTGGCTATGTGACTTGCTTTTTCTAATGGGATGATAGTGGAAATTATGTGAGTAGAATTTGAAATGTGCTTGTGTGATTTGACTTGGTCTCCTGCACTTTGATCTTTTTTTCATAAAAAGGATATGTCTCAGCTATCTTCAGTTTTAAGAAGGATGAGAAACAAGTGAATGTAGTTCACAGCTAGAAAGCAAGCCTAATTGCGCCAAATCTAAAGTAGCTGAACTCATGTCAACCCATAGATGAGTAAGAAATGGATGCTTATTGGCAAGCAGGTTGGTAAGTAGTTTGGTATAAAAGTAATCATGTTTTTTTGTCCGTAAAAGTAATGGTAAAAACCGCAATAACTTTTGCACCAACCTAATACATGCCAATGAGTTTTGATTTTTTTTTTACACAATGTTATTATGGATACAAACGACTGATACACCAAGGAATAAAAGCATTTCATCAATACACAAGGAGAAGAAATAATTTTAAAAGTTACTTAATTGTGAAACTATTGGTTTAACTGGTAAAATAGTTGTACAGGTGAAAGTTTAGTTTTGTTATGCATGTAAAGACATTAATAACAGAAGATTTTGAAAAGTAAAGCATCCAGTGAGAAAATATAAAAGGAAAATGACAAATATAGAAAAATCTTAGGAATGTTATTGGTGAAAGGAAGGAAAAACTAAGAGTGAAGCTTGAAGGGGTATTAGAAAATGGAAGCCTTGTTAAATTTTTGTTTCTTTTTTTCTTTAAAGGAATAAATGATCTAAATATATTTACAATTAGAAGAGAAATATCAATGAAGCAAGAGCCCTAAAATGCAAGGGAGGGACTTATTAACTGATTTCAAACAAAGCTTTGGCTCAGCTGAGTTGTGAATGACACTCTGCACAAAGTGAAAGAGAGGAAACAAACTTACTCTGAGACAGGAGGAAGAAAAGAGTAATGTTACAGATAAGTTCTAAAGACATAAGGAAGCTGTGATCACCTAGATATGTTGAAATGACAAGATAGATAGCAAACAAAGGCACTTGTGCTAGATGACCTATATTTGCCAACATGGGATAAGGAGATTGCATGACTGAATATCTTGGAGAAGAGCACAAACAACTTTTACTTTTACTTATTTATTTTTTTTGAGATGGGCATCCTGCTCTCTCGCCAGGCTGGAGTGCAGTGGCGCGATCTTGGCTCACTGCAACCTCAGCCTCCCAGGTTCAAGCAATTCTCCTGCCTCAGCCTCCGAGTAGCTAGGACTACAGGCACGCACCACCATGCCCAGCTAATTTTTATATTTTTAGTAGAGACGAGTTTTCTCCATGTTGGCCAGGATGGTCTCCATCTCTTGACCTAGTGATCAGCCTGCCTCGGCCTCCCAAAGTGTTGGGATTACAGCCATGAGCCACCATGCCCGGCGTGTATCAATAACAAAGATGATGGTGACAAGAGCAAACTGTCTGAAAATTCGATGTTATTTATATTAGTAATACTACAAACTCTTAGTCTTGTTAAGATTAATTCCAAAATGTGATCTTAACGTAAATTCGAGGATTCATTTGGGGCAGGCAATTCAATGTCTAGGATCCATTTACTTCTGCTTTCCTGTTTTTAACATAGGGCAACTACAGTTTCATCTTGGAGAAAAGAAAATCATAGATTTTATCAAATAACCTCATCTTTTACATGAACAAGATAACTATTTACTTTCTCTTTAAAAATAAAGCATAATGAAACTGGACCCCTTCCTTATACCTTATACAAAAATTAACTCAAGATAGATTAAATACTTAAATGTAATACATAAAACCATAAAAACCCTAGAAGAAATCCTAGGCAATACCATCCAGGACATAGGCATGGGCAAAGACTACATGACTAAAACACCAAAAGCAATTGCAACAAAAGCCCCAGTTGACATATGGGATCTAATTAAACTAAGAGCTTCTGCACAGCAAAAAACAAAACCAAAAACAAACAAACAAAAAAACAAAAAACAAAAAACTATCATTACAGTGAACGGGCAGCCTACAGAATGGGAAAACATTTTTGCAATCCATCTGACAAAGGGCTAATATCCAGAATCTACAAGGAACTTAAACAAATGTACAAGAAAAATACAATGCTATCAAAAAGTGGGCGAAGGACAGGAACAAACACTTCTCAAAAGAAGAAATTTATGCAGGCAACAAACATATGAAAAAAAGCTCATCTTCACTGGTTATTAGAGAAATGCAGA